>NC_000010.11:16222121-16373636 GCF_000001405.40 Homo sapiens
TTTAGATATCTTTTTTAATTGATAACCTTTTAAAAAAAATTAAGTTCCAGGGTGCATATGCAGGATGTACAAGTTGATACATAGGGAAACATGTGCCATGGTGCTTTGCTGCACCAATCAATCCATCACTTAGCTATTAAGCCCCACATGCATTAGCTATTTATCCTGTTGTTCTTCCACCCCCTGACCCCAACCAACAGTCTCCAGTGTGTGTTGTTCCCTTCCTTGTGTCCATATGTTTTCATTGTTCAGGTTCCACTTATGAGTGAAAACCTGGTGTTTGGTGTTCTGTTCCTGCATTAGTTTGCCGAGGATAATAGCTTCCAGCTCCATCCATGTACCTGCAAAGGACATTATCTCATTCTTTTTTATGGCTGCATAGCATTCCATGCTGCATAGGTACCACATTATCCAGTCCATCACTGATGGGCATTTGGGTGGATTATCGGGGGAACCCGCCCCCAATATTTCAACGTAGGTCCTATTTTCCCTAAGTGTCAGCCAGTCTGAGCAATAAAGAGAAAGAGTACAAAGAGAGAAATTTTACAGCTGGGCCACTGGGGGTGACATCACATATCGGTAGGTCCATGATACCCACCTGAGCCGCAAAACCAGCAGGTTTTTATTAAGGACTTCAAAATGGGAGGGGGTGTATGAACAGGGAGTAGGTCACAAAGATCACATGCTTCAAAGGGCAAAAAGGAGAACAAAGATCATGTGCTTTTGGGAAAACAGGACCAGGGCAAAATCAGAAACTCCTGATAAGGGTCTATGTTCAGTGGTGCATGTACTGTCTTGACAAACATCTTAACAGACAACAGGGTTCGACAGCAGAGAACTGGTCTGACCTCAAATTCACCAGGGTGGGGTTTTTTCCGCACCCTAATAAGCCTGAGGGTACTGCAGGAGACCAGGGCGTAGTATTTCAATCGTTATCTTAACTGCATAAGACAGACACTCCCAGAGCAGCCGTTTATAGACCTCCCCCCAGGAATACAATTCTTTTCCTAGGTTCTTACTATTAATATTCCTTTCTAGGAAAAGAATTTAGTGATATCTCTCCTACTCGCACATCCATTTATAGGCTCTCTGCAAGAAGAAAAATATGGCTCTATTCTGCCTGACCCTGCAGGCAGTCAGACCTTATGGTTGTCTTCCCTTGTTCCCTGAAATCGCTGTTATTCCGTTCATTTTCAAGGTGCACTGATTTACAATCACACATGTTTTACAATCAGTTTGTGCAGTTTAACACAACAGTGGTCCTGTGGTGGACATACATCCTCAGCTTACGAAGATAACAGGATTAAGAGATTAAAGTAAGATAGGCGCAAGAAATTATAAGAGTATTAATTCTGGGAACTGATATGTGTCCATATTAAAATGAAATCTTCACAGTTTATGTTCCTCTGCTGTGGCTCCAGCTGGTCCCTCCATTCAGGGTCCCTGACTCCCCACAACAGTTGATTCCATGTCTTTGCTATTGTGAATAGTGCTGCAATGAACATATGTATGCATGTATCTTTATAATAGAATAATTTATATTCCTTTCGGTATATATCCAGTAATGGGATTGCTGGGTCAAATGGTATGTCTGCTTCTAGGTCTCTGAAGAATTGCCACACTGTCTTCCACAATGGTTGAACTAATTTACATTCCTACCAACAGTGTAAAAGCATTCTAATTACCATTCTGACTGCTGTGAGATGGTATCTCATTGTGGTTTTGATTTGCATTTCTCTATCAGTGATGTTGAGCTTTTCTTCATGTTTCTTGGCCAGAAAAATGCCTTCTTTTGAGAAGTGTCTGTTCATGTCCTTTGCCCACTTTTTAATGGGGTTGTTTGTTTGCTCTCATGATAGTTTCTTTTGGGGTCCAGGAACTTTCTAGTTTAATTAGATCCTATTTGTCAATTTTTGCTTTTGTGGTGATTGCTTTTGGTGTCTTTGTCATGAAATCTTTGCCCATTCCTATGTCCTGAATGGTATTGCCTAGATTTTCTACTAGGGTTTTTATAGTTTGGGGTTTTACATTTAAGTCTTTAATCCATCTCGAGTTAATTTTTGTATAAGGTGTAAAGAAGGGGTCCAGTTTCAATTTTCTGTGTATGGCTAGCCAGTTCTCCCAGTACCATTTATTAAATAGGGAATCCTTTCCCTATTGTTTTGTTGTGGTTAATTTTTTTGCTTGGGTGATTGTAATATCCCTATACAACTTTATTATGTTCTGTGTTTGCCAGAATTTTTTCCCATCTTTTTATCCCTTTACTTTTTAAACTTTTAAAAATGTATATATATATGTATATGCTGTTTAAATGGACACATTTAAATATCTTTTAGTAAATACATTTGTTCACCTTTATTGGGATTACTAGTATAGTTAAATTTATTTCATTTTCTATTTACCATGTCTCTTTTCATTTATTATAATTTATGATGATGATTTTTAACTTTTCTGTCTACCTTTGGTGAGCTGCAGCTTTACTATGATGAGTCTAGATGGGGAATTATTTTTATTATACTCTTTAAAAGAAAGTCTTATGTCACTTTACAAATTCCCAGTCTATCCCCCACTAGCTCTCTTCTGTCTTTAAGGTCCTACAGTAAGATTCATGTTGGAACTTTTCACTCTATCCTTCATGTCTCTTCATCAGCTTCAGAACTGCATTTTGTGCAACGTCCTCAAATATATATTTCAATTCACCAATTCTAAAAATGTACCTCATTTTCATTTTGAAAACTGTTTCATTCAATGGCCCTGTTTAATACCTACCATCCTATACTTTTTTTTTTTTTTTCCAGTGCTGAGGCCTCACTCTGTCAGACAGGTTGGAGTGCAGTGGCATAATCATAGCTAACTCTAACTTTGAACTCCTGGGCTCAAGCAATCCTCCCACCTCAGGCTCCCAAGTAACTGGGGCTGCAAGCACGTGCCAGCATGCCCAACTGATTTTTAAAAATTTTTGTAGAGACAGAGTCTCGATATGTTTCCCAGGTTAGTTTTGAACTCCTAGCTTCAAGTGATCCTCTGTCCTCAGGCTCCCAAAATGCTGGGATTACAGACATAAGCCACCATCCCCAGCCTAAACATTTTTAAAGCTCTTCTGAAAGTCTTTTTCAGGTTGTTCTCTTACCTCAAATTCTTTGAAAGTTAATGTTGTTGTTTCCAAAGTCTGCTTTGTTAGAAGGAGTCTAAAGTTTCTAAAACAGTTTCTATGGAAATGTCCCAACAGAGTGAGTTTACATATGCCTTTGCCAGCTGACCCTAGAAGTTCCCTGGACAAAAACCAGTTTTATGTTAATTTCTCAAGTTCGAATTTTTGAACTATGATGTCATTGTAAATTCAGACTCCATAGCGAATATGCCACATGTTTGAGGTTTCAATTACTCTAAGGGTACTGTTATTTTTTACCCATAATCTTAAGGCAAAATTTTTGTTCTCTAATTTAAATGCTTTTATAGTCCCTGATCCACAAAGGAGCAACTAACTATTCTAACGTTACTGAAGGGATATTATTTCCAGATCATTCTCTTGGGTGCTAAGGCTACATTGTCTATCACTACATTGACATTAAAACCTCAGACCCTAATCTTTAAAACCTCTAAGTCTAATACTCCCACAGATCATGGCAGATTTCTCATTTTGTGAACCTAGTGACTTGATTTCCATTTCCTCTTAATTTCTTGAAAAGGGACTCCCCCCGCTTTTTTGTGAGCTTCATACATATAGAAAATAATTCTGATTACTATATTTTATTCACCATTTCTGTATGCTTGGAGTGAGAATGTAGTCGGTGTTAGCTCTATCTGACTTGTTTTAAAATTCTATTTTTTTTTTTTTTTTTTTGAGACGGATTCTCGCTCTGTCTCCCAGGCTGGAGTACAGTGGCGCGTTTTTGGCTGACTGCAAACTCCACCTCCTGGATTCAAGCACTTATCCTGCCTCAGCCTCCCAAATAGCTGGGATTACAGGTGCCCGCTGCCACACCCAGTTAATTTTTGCATTTTTAGTAGAGACAGGGTTTCACCATGTTGGCCAGGCTGTTCTTGAACTCCTGACCTCAGGTGATCCACCCACCTTGGCCTCCCAAAGTGCTAGGATTACAGGCGTGAGCCACTGTGCCCAGCCGACTTGTTTTAAAATTCTTATTTCTTAACATAGTCATACACTATTTTTCACTTTTTTTACCTAATAATTAATTTTGTGATTATTCTGTATCAATAACCATACATTGCTTCTGTCTTTTTAACAGTTTTTAATAGTATTCCACTGTAATAATGTAGAATAATTCATATAACCAGGCATTGACTATTTTCAATATTTTTAAACTATCAAAAAAGTGTTGTCACTGTACAAAGTGTGGAAAATACAGAAAATTTTGCTGTATATCCTTTTAGTCCTTTTTCTTTCATACATATTGAGTTTTTATGTAAACTTGTTATATAATTTACTAAACTAATGTATCATTTTAAAATGGTGAGCATGCTTTATATCCTTAAATACTCTTCAGGAACTGCTATGGCAGTGTGGTGGTTCACTTTAGATATGTAGCACTATTTTAAGTGTTTAAATTAATTTATGTATCTAGTTGAAAAACAATAATTGTAAATATTTATAGGGTATAATGTGATGTTTTGAGATATAGATATATGTATTATAGAAAGATTAAATCAAACTAACAGGCTGGGCACAGTGGCTCACACCTGTAATCCCAGCACTTTGGGAGGCCGAGGCAGGTGGGTCACTTGAGGTCAGGAGTTCAAGACCAGCCTGGCCAACACAGTGAAACCCTGTATCTACTAAAAATACACACACAAAAAAACATTAGCCGTGCATGGTGGCAGGCACCTGTAATCCCAGCTCCTCGGGAGGCTGAGGCAGGAGCATCACCTGAACCCAGAAGGCGGATGTTGCAGTGAGCTGAGATTGTGCCACTCCACTCCAGCAAGGGCAACAAGAGTGAAATTCCATCTCAAAAAAAAATAATAAATTAAAAATAAATAAACTAACATAACCATCACCTCACCTACTTATATTTTTACACTGAAAACATTTAAATCTACTCTCTTAGCAATTCTGAAATATACAAGATGTTATTATTCATTATAGTCAGCATGCTGTGCAATAGATCACCAAAACTAATTCCTCTTGCCTAAATGAAACTTGGCACTCTTTGATCAATATCTCCCTTTTCCTCCTCTCAAGCCTCAGGTAGCCACCATTCTACTCTGTTTCTATGAGATTTATTTTTCTAGATTCCACATATAAGTGAGTGATATAGTTTGGATGCTTGTCCCTTCCAAACCTCATGTTGTAATGTGATCCCTAGTGTTGGAGGCAGGGCCTGATGGGAGGTGTTTGGGCCATGGGGGCGGATCCATCTTGAATGACTTGGTGCCTTCCCTGTGATAATGAGCTCATACCAAATCTGGTTAAAGAGACTGGCACCTCTCTCCTCTCATCGTTGCTCCCCCTCTCATCGAGTAATGTGTCTGCTCGCCCTTCACCTTCCACCATGATTGGAAACTTCCTGAGGACTCACCAGAAGCAGATACTGGCACCATGCTTCTTGGACAGCGTGTAAAACTGCAAGCCAAATAAACCTCTTCCTTGATAAATTACTCAGCCTCAAGTGTTCCTTTATAGCAATGCAAAATGGGCCAACACAGTAAGATTATGTGGTATTTGCCTTTCTGTGTCTGACTTATTTCACTTAACATAATGTCCCCAAGGCAGAATCCATGTTGTCGTAATGACAGAATTTTCCTTTTTCCGGGCTGTATAATATTCTTTTGTGTATATATATCTATCACATTTTCTTTACTCATTCATTTGTTGATGAACACTTAGGTTGCTTCTATATCTTGGCTATTATGAATGATGCTGAAATGAACACAGGAGTGCAGATATCTCTTTGACATACTGATTTCAACTCTTTTGCATATATATCCAGAAATGGGGCTGCTGAATCATATGCTAATTCTATTTTTGAGTTTTTGAAGAAACTCCATACTGCTTTTCATTTAACTATATCATATATTTGGATATTTAAGTTGTTTCAAGCTATACGCTAATATAAATGCACATCCTTACCTGTAAATCTTTTTGTGTCTCTTATTATTATTGCTGATTTAGAATTAATTACTAGAAATGGAATTATCAGTTCAAAGGTATAAACACTAGCCTGGCCAACATGGTAAAGCACCATCTCCACTAAAAACACAAAAATTAGCTGGGCATTGTGGCACGTGCCTCTAATCCCAGCTACTCGGGAGGCTGAGACAGGAGAATCTCTTGAACCCGGGAGGTGGAGGTTGCAGTGAGCCGAGATCACACCACTGCACTCCAGCCTGGGCGACAGAGTGAGACCTTGTCTCAAAAAAAAAAAAAAAAAAAAAAAAAAAAAGTATAAACGCCTATGACTTTTGATGTATATTATAAAGTTGCCTTCTCAGATTATATTCTAAATTCCCTACAATTTCTCCAGAAGAATATAAATGCCTATTTCCTCATATGTTTTTCAATGTTTCCACTTTTAAAAATTTTTGCAAAAATGGTGGGCAAAAAGTTGGCATCTCATTGTTTAAATTTACATTTCTTTAGTGAAACAAGATTTTTTCATATGTTTATTTTTGTTTTCTGTGAATTGCCTATTCAGGCTTCTTGCCTGTTTTTCTATTGGAATATTTCTTGTCATATTCATTATTTGGTTAGCTGTAATACGCCTTATTTTTAGAAAGAGCACAGGTGTGTTTCCTCTATGAACCCTCACATATTTCAGAATAGCTTTCTATTTTTATCATGAACGATTAACAACTTTATTGATATATCTTGGGTCTCATAGCAAAGCAGAAAAAGTTCATCCAGACTTGGGTTTCCTCCTATGTCAGGCAGATGTGCACTCCCTGAATTCCCTCACAATCCACCAATTTGAAGTTACAATCTTCCTGCAGGGCTTAAACCACCAGGCTGATTAGTAAAATTTTCAGTTCAGTTATCGCTCAGCCTGTGTAACTGTAGATAAAGCCTGGAATATGGGGAGCCCCGAGCAGAGGAATCCTATCTCTGAGCAGTTTTTCCTTTGTAATTGTTACCAAGCAAAACTGTTGGGCTGGTGCTTCCAGGCCTCCATACCTCACTTAGCCCACCTGGTACTTTGGCTAAGTCGTGAGACCCTCACGTACAACTGACTCTCTGTGGGCCATTACCATGGAAACCCAGGAATCTCCATGCTACTTCTGTAGAATGCAGCTTATTCCAAGTGGGGGAAGGGGTTTCACATCTTACACTCTCTGCCTCATATTAGCTTCCACTTCCTCCCCTATTGTTAGTGAGTATTAGTGGGGCTCTGACTTTTTTTTTTTTTTTTTTTTTTTGAGACAGAGTCTCGCTCTGTCGCCCAGGCTGGAGTGGAGTGTTGTCATCTCTGCTCACTGCAGCCTTTGCCTCCTGGGTTCAAGCAATTCTGCCTCAGCCTCCCGAGCGGCTGGGACTATAGGCATGCACTGCCGCAGCCGGCTAATTTTTGTATTTTTAGTAGAGATGGGGTTTCACCAAGTTCGCCAGGATGGTCTTGATCTCCTGACCTCATGATCTACCCACCTTGACCTCCCAAAGTGCTGGGATTACAGGCATGAGCCACCGCTCCCGGCTGGCATATATATATATATAAATCCTGACTTACCCTACCAGTGTAGTGCTTTCTCTAGATGCTAAGATGTCTCTTTAACATTTTGCTCAGTTAGTTCTCATTTGTACAATATCTCACCAAAAATCCTCGAAGTGTTTGGTACAGGTATGACACCCTTCTCATTTTTCCACCTTGGATGCAGCTTTTTAATTTTTCTTCATCCCTTTGGCTATGTACTTGGAGTTTTCAGAGGATGGAGTACAAGTTCAGCAACTCTGTGAATTTCATCACCTCACTGGAAAGTTTGGTCTTTGACTTTTTGAAGTGCAGCAGTGTGGTTAGGTATTATGATTTTTAAATTTTGGCATATATAGAAATTTACCAGCAGTGTAAAATGGAGACACCAGCCTCTTACCTCCAGAGATTCTGATTCAGTAACTCTGACATGCACTATATAATCTATATTTATAATAACTACCTCTCCTGGTGATTCTGATATAGGTCACCCTACACTTTAAGAAATCCCAATGTAAAGAAAAAAAGAACAAAACCAGTGGTTCCTCAAGAGTGGATTATAGAAGCTGAGTGCCTCAGCTTCACCTAGAAACTTGTTTGGAAAGGAAATGTATACACTCTGACTAACATAGACCTGCTGAATGAGAAAGTCTGAAGTTTTTCCCAGTGATCTGTATTTTAACAAGCCCTCCAGTGGTTTCTGATACACACGCAAGTTAGAAAATTGCTGAAATAGTGAGTCAAAAACCACACGTCCTAATCTGAGCTCTGTCTCTATCTCAGTGGCCAAAGGGAAGGTATTCTCTCTCTCTGAATCTCATCTTCTCAGTTTATAACATGAAGATAAAAGGCTGAGTATCTCCAAAGTCCTTTAAGGTTAATCTCCAAAATTTTTAACCTCCAAAAAATTAAAAATTTGCTCCATGTTGTTGTTTTTTTTTTTCCTGAAATAAATTGCATTTAGTTGAGTTTTCAGTACTACTATTTTTATTCCACAGGAATGCCCTGGGATCCAGTGACATCCACTGTATTTCTTTTTCTTTTTTTCTGATATGGAGTCTCGTTCTGTCACCCAGGCTGGAGTGCAATGGCGCAATCTCGGCTCATTGCAACCTCCGCCTCCTGGGTTCAAGCGATTCTCCTGCCTCAGCCTACTGAGTAGCTGGGATTACAGGCATGCGCCACCATGCCCAGCTAATTTTTGTATTTTTAGTAGAGACAGGGTTTCACCATGTTGGTCAGGCTGGTCTCGAACTCCTGACCTCGTGATCCACCCACCTTGGCCTCCCAAAGTGCTGGGATTACAGGCGTGAGCCACCATGCCCGGCCCACATCCACTGTATTTCACAAGAGCTAATCAATCAAGCCCAGAATCATTTAAAATATACGTATAAATGTTAACAATAATCCTGAGTAGAGACTGCATCTAAATCCTCCACATAGTCCATCGACAAATAGCTGTTTTTCTTTCTTTTCTGGCTCTCTTTTTAAATATGAAAAGGCTGGGTTCCACTGGCATGTGTTTCACCCAGCTCATTTTCTTCATCTGGCTCATTTGATCTTAATTACTAGGGCTAGTTCTTGAATTGCAGCAGCTTGTTTTAAGGAGCTTATGGCAGAAGGTGCAAAGCACAGGCAGCCGACAATGTGTTACTAAAAGGAGAAGAAATTTTCTTTTACATAAGAAGCCATATGCAGTCCAAATTTATCCATACTGTATCACTGAAATGTGTATTTTAAAACTTCATCTATGATTTTTCACAGGTATGGGTTTCATTCTCTTGTGTATTTGACAAAGAACCTCCAAAAAACAGACTCAGCTTTTTTAAAAGTCCATTTCAAAATATTCCCAGATCGCTCCTATTGGCAACATGAAGGGTCCTCACCCATTGCCTCCTCTTGGAAGGTTTTTGTTGCCCATCTCAGATCATCCTTCTCCCTACAGCTCCCTCAGCTTGTAGGTCTCAAAGGTCATGTTGTCAAGGTGCCGTTTTCTTGAAAACAGCAAAACTGTGAAAGTTCCCACATTCCTACAAGAGCGGAAGGGAATGAAAGGAGAGGGAGTTTGCTCTTTCTCTGGGTCCTGAGTCCTCTGGCTGTTTCAATGACAGACAGCAGGTCCCTGGAGCTTCCGCCTTCGACGCCTTAGAGAACACCTGTAAAGCATCAAAGCCACGGCACGTGGCAGAGTGCCAGCCATCTGGACGTGGCCTTTTGCAACTCTCCATCATCAACTTGCTTCTCCTTTGAAATCTTGTCTTGAACACTGTATCCCTCTTCCCCTCTCCGACTTCATTTGCTGCCACCCTCCTTCAGCAACAGGCCTTTGAGAGAACACATTAGACACTCAGTCCTTCCTGAGTTTTTTCTTCTACAACAACTGCTCTGTCTCACCATCATCCTTGGAGTTTCATGTTTCCAACTGTGGCACCTACAAAATCTAATTGCTTGGCACCACATTTCTGACATCACAGTCTGTTGCCATGGGAAAGAGCCACCGATTCAGTGTGATGACTTCTCTGCCAGAAGGAGGGAATGCAGTGAGAGGGAGACAACATTTGTTTAAGCATAAATATCTTTGATATTTAGCAAAGCGGCAAGAGACCCTATGGAAGACAACAGAGGAAGCAAAAATTCCAATTTATAGGATGCTTTGCTTTCAGGATTCTCCTTTAGTGAAAATCAGATGTTCAGCTTCCTTCAGGGCTTCCCATTGTGCAAGAATTTCAAAGTGATTATTCCTTTGACTTTAGGGTTCATTGGAAATAATATCAGAGTTTGAAAGCATGTGGAGTTCAAAAAGCCGTATATCCCTTAAAATGCTACATCTGCTTTTCCATGTTGCTGTCAGATGATTATCTTGTTAAAAAGATGAGCAGCAGTCATTCTAAATAGATTGCTCATCTCAGCACAGCCTTTCCAACACAGCCAGTTTCAGACAGTTGAAGCTAGCTTCTTCCTTCTGTGCTTCTGCTAAGACCCCACATCTGCCAGGAGTAAACCCTCCTAATCATGCCTTCTGTTGAATTTACAGGAGTTCTATGAACAGTGTTTGCAAGGGCCTTGCCAAAACTCAAAGTCCTCTCTCATCACATGGATGCAACTATTAACTGGAAACTTGAGAACACCGCATCTGGAAAATTTCAAAAGTTATAGTGTAATTTTCACCTAATGGTAACTTAGAATTCTGAGTAAAAGAGCGAATTTGAGTAAATGTATCTAACTCTTCTAGACAACTTTTCTTGATTCCTATTAAAGCGGAATTAAAAAAAAAAAAGAGGACAAACTATATTATTTGCTGGATAGTAGATACTCTAGATTCACACCTGAAACTTTTGGATATTTCTGCAAATGAAACTGAATCAAAGATGAGGACTATCCTGATGATGTACTGCCTGCATGAAAAGTCATGGTTTGCCTCAGAGGCTCTGTGGTGAAACTCCACCAGCCTTCCCTAATTAGACAGGCAAAATCTTAAATAAGTGTAGGCTGTGGGTCAATTGGGAACTTCCTCTCAGTCTCATCAGACCTGGGAGATATGCCTGGGAGATATGCCGGGCAGCACAGTACATATCTAACTGGAAACCCAAAGTGATGCTTACTCAATTTTCATTTGCAATAGGAGTCCCTATTGCACAGTTAGAGGGGCCCTGTAAAGTCTTTACCCACCAGTTGGGCTGGGTAAAGACTACAGCTGCCATGTCAAATGTGGAAAAGAGACCCTTGAGCAGAGAAGGTGACCTCTTGGTTGCAACTCTTCCATTCTTATTTCCCACTTTTCTCCACAAGTTGCCGGATGTCTGAAGTATGACACAAGACCAGAATAAACCCACAGATTCCTTCTTCCCCAGTCTACAAGGTCTGGAGTATTTGAACAGGGGTCACAATAGCCGAGAGAAAAACCAAACTGGCTTGCAACACTAGCCATGGATATAACTTTGGAGGGGGCAGGTCATAGATATGTGAAAAGGTGTTGAAGTCCAAAGACAAGGGAGCATACAGAGGAATCAACATGAAAGTCTTCTACCAAATCCTTGCTGCAGGAAACAGAACAACTGAGCCATTTTCTAATCTATTTTCTCAAGAAAATCAAAAGAAGTGACTACTTACTTCCAGGCAATGTAGAGTAGTGGTTACGACTCTGTGTGCTTTAACAAGTTTAAAGCTCAGCTCTGCTACTTATGATCATCAGTAAATCACTAAAACTGTCCTGTCTCAATTTTTCAACTTGTAAATTGGGGTGTTAATATTTACCAAATAGGATTATTGTGCATTTCAAATAATATAATTCATTTATGCACCTGGAAAATATGTGAGGCACATATTAATTTTACAATGAAAATAATTAGGAAACTAGTCCAGACAATCATAAATGAACAAACTAAAATCAGTAAAGACAGGAGGACATAAATACACCATTTCTGTATTTAAAAAGATCAAAGTCATGAAACAGCAAAAAGATCAACAAAGTCATGAAACAGCAAATTGAATACTACTGAAACAGAGCTGTGTATTAGATAAGTGTTAGCATTCCTTCCAAAAGTCAGCAGAAAATGATGAAAAGAGCAAAAAAAATGAGTATATTTAAATAATCATGGAAAAGGTGATACAAATCCCAATATATCATACAATAATCTTTCCAAGGAAGAAAAATAACAAATAAAAAACACCCCAAAGAAGTTATAAAGTAACTTCTGATAAAAATTGTGAAGTAATTTTCTGCTGTGTGCACTCTCCTTCCAAATACCAACAATAAAGTATAATGAGAGAAAACCAAAAGACACAGGTGGAACTCCATATAAAAAATCTACATGAACATCAAAGGAAATAGAAATACTAAGTAGTAAGTTGTTTCCAGGTTAGAAGCAGGTAGTGAAAGCTCCTGAGGAGTAAAAGGGAACAAAATATTCCATTCAGAACAGTTATCCTTTCAACCAATATTTATTGAGCCAGGTGCTGCATAATAATTGGGGATATATCAGTGAACCAAACAAATCTCTCTTATAGGAGCTTATATTCTGGAGAAGACAGTCCCATTACAGCAAGTCAAGGGATGTATGTAACTTACCAGCAGCCTAGTGCAATTACGGGAACTTTTATGAGTAACTGATAGGAAGGAGGAGGAAAGAAAGCTAATGGGTTGGCTCAGTATATGGGTGCAAACCAACAATGGACAGCACCTTCTCTGCTGCCCTATTCAGGGTTGGCTTAGAAAGAAATGCTGTAGTCCAGGAAGTCCTCCCAATGGGCAAAGCCTCAAGCAGTGAGTCTGATCATTCATTTAGTGAGCAAAATCTGAGATAAGAATATATACAGATTTATAGTCAGTGGCAAATGAGTTGGCCAGATGGTCTAGAGTCTGGAAGGAAAAAGATTAGATTAGAGACAAGGAGTTCTGGGAAGAGGTCTGTGGATTGGCCTGCAGGAGTGGGCATGAAATGTAGAGATCTTTGACTGCATGGTATCGCCTGCCAGAAAGCGTCTAGCATGTAAGGTGCATGAAGAAGCCAAGTACAAAAAAATAATGTGGCCAGTGAATGTCAGAGAGCATCTGCCCTTGGCCATGCTGATGCTGGCAAAGTGAGCATGTGAACCGAGTTACCTGGTGGCAGAGATGGAAGCTATCTATGAGCCCAGCGGCACAGGCCCCCACAAGTCTTTGAACTAGACTAAGCGGCCCACTTTACACAAAAGAGGTTCATAAGTCTGTACCTGACCACAAATTCCCTGGTAATATCATATTCCACATCACCCAGAAGCTACTACTGTCTTAATAGAGTAATGAAATGGTCTGTTGAGAACATAGCTAAGGTATCAACTCAGAGGTATCTACCAAGGGAGGCACCATTCTCTAGGGTGGAACATATACCCTATATATTAGTCTGTTCTCATACTACTATGAAGAAATACCCAAGACTGGATAATTTACAAAGGAAAGAGGTTTAATTGACTCACAATTATGCATTGCTGGGGATGCCTCAGGAAACTTACAATTATGGCAGGAGGCAAAGGAGAAGCAGGTATCTTCTTCATAGGGCAGCAGGACAGAGTGAGAGCAAGCAGGGGAAATTCCAGATGCTTATAAAACCATCAGATCTCATGAGACTCACTATCATGAGAACAGCATGGGGGAAAGCATCCCCATGATCTAATTTCCTTCACCTGGTCCCGCCCTTGACATGGGGATTATGAGGATTACGGGGCTCACAATTCAAGATGATTTTGGGTGGGGCACAGCCAAACCATATCAATCAGTGATTATTGAATGATTCCAGGTCTCCAACAGGTAGAAAACACAGGAGCAAAGGGTGGAAGGAGTGGTCCTGCTCATCATTACTTCCAGTATCCCACTTAAGAATTTGGGCTTCTTGTCTATTACAACTCTGGCCTCTGCAGGTTTACAAGTCTTGGTTCCCAAAAAGAGGCCGATACTTCCTATAGGAGTCACAGCAAGAATCTCATTGAGCTTTCAGCTATAATAGCTACCTGGACGCTTTGGGTTTCTTATGCCAAAGAATTCTCTAGCGAAAAAAGAAAAGTTACATTCTTGGCAGAGGCAATTGACTGGGATCTTCAGAATATCCAAGGCAGACACTGATAAAATAAACCAAAGGAAAGAGTCTGACTGTATCAATAATAAATGTAATATAAATGGATTACATTGATCTGCTGAAAGACAGAGATTCTCAGGATAGATTTAAAAGCAAAAAAGTTATCTGTTGTTCTAAAGAGTTACACTTAAAACTATGATCAAAAGTTTAAATGAAGTAATAAAATCAACAAACCAGGGCAATCACTCTTGACAGTCAGTAGTTTAAATCTTCTGAAAAGATATCCAACTGAAAAACACCAAAATGCCAAAGTCTGAGAAACATACTTAAATTGCATCATAACATTTTCAATAATCTAAGAAAAAAAATCCCAGGAATTTAAAAAAGATAAACCTAGATTATTAAATCAGAATGATAAAAGATCTTGGAAACCAATAATGCTCTAGGAGCAAATGCCTGGAAAATAAAATAAAATCAGACATCAGTGTGTAATGACACTTGTGCCAACTCCTGACAGGTACCTGAACTTGAGAACTCTGCGTAAAGTTGCATACCCTGAAAGTGATTTTACTTTCAGTAAAAAAGGTGGGCTTGGGGGGAAACAAAATCTATCTTCATCAGGAAAACAAAAAGATCTGTGTCTGACATAGCTCCATAGAACACAGGGAAGTTTTCCGTGAGAAGCTCTAACCATTGGCTGATCCTGAATGCTTAACACTTACACTTACTGTAACTTACTCAAACTTATACTTACTGTAAGATCCAGGACACCTCGAATACAGGAACTAAATTAAAGTAGTCCTCAAAATTTGAAAATCAATGTATTCATCATTTTAACAGATGAAAGAGAAAATCTATATGACTATCTCAATAATTACAGGAAAAGTATTTGATAAAATCCACATCCTTTAAAAAAAAAAAAACCTCGGTAACTTAAGAATGAAATTAGTTAGCCTGATAAGAAACATTTACAAAAATTAAAGTTGGGGAGAGAGAGAGAATAAGAATAAACATCAGCTAACATCAATTTTAATGGTGAAAAATTAAATGTTCTTCCCATACCATGAGAACAAATACAAGATATTCTCTTTTATAGCTCCTATTCAATATCATATTGGAAGTCCTAACCATTGCAACAAGACATGATTAAAAGGGCATAAAAAGGACATGATTCTGGGAAGAATGAAATAAAACTGTCTTTATTCACAGATGATATGATTTTTCTAGGTAGAAAAATCTAAAATCATCTACAAAAAACTAAAAAGTGATTAGGATAAAAGTTCTTAAAAGTTCTCAGGATAAAAGGTCACATATATTTACATACTTACTATAATTCTATGCACTGAAAAAATAAACACTGAATTTGAAATTTTTAAAATTATCATTTAAATGTCACCAAAATTTCTTATAAATGTAACAAAATACATGTGAAATCTGTAAGCTGACAACTATAAAATACCAATGAAAGAAATCAAAGACTTAAATAAAGAGGTATCACATGTTCATAAAACAGAAGAAGTCAACTTCTAAATATTGTTAAGAAGTCAAGTCTCCCAAATGGATCCATAGATTCAATACAAACTTAATCAAAACACCAGCCAAATTTTTTATAGATAACAACATGATTTCAAAATTTATATGAAAAGGAAAAGGAACTAGAATGTCAAGCAATTTGGAAATATAAAGATGAAGTTGGAGGTCTCGTACTACCTAATTTCAAGAATAACTATAAAGACTTTACATTACTATAAAGCTATATAGACTTACTATCAAGTCATCATGATACTGGCAAACAGAGAGGCACATAGGTCATTGGAACAGAGAGAAGAGAAATAGAATCATACAAATATAGTCAAATAACTTTTGACAAAGGCACAAAAATAATTTAATACAAGAGTGTTTTTTCAAGAAATGATGCTGGACAAACTGGATTTTCATATGCAAAAGAAAGGAATCTCCACCATACTTTATAGCACAACTAACTCAAAATTGACCAGATATGGAACATAAAAGTAGTACTTCTAGAAGAAAAATTTAGAGAAACTCTTTGCATCCTTGAAGTTAGCAAAAGATTTTTAGACATATGCGTAAAGTACTATCTGTTAAAGAAAACTTTTATAATATAAACTTATTAAAATTTAGAACTTTTTCTTAGTATTAAGAGAATGAAAAGACAACTTACAGGTGGGGAGAAAATATTTGCTAATCTCCTTTCTGACCAAGAACTTGTAGCCAGAAAACATAAAAAATTGTCAAAACTCAACAACAAGAAAACAAATAATTCAAATTTCTCTGGAAGAGGACAACTTTTACTTCAACCCAAAATGGTATGACAAAAGCTAAATTTATTCCTCCACATAAAATGACCAAAAACAGAAGAAATATTTAAAATAATGGTTTTCAAGACTCTGGATATCAACCAGGCAGTGTGAACAGAGGTCTCTGAATAACGGGAAACAAACAAAGTGAGTCCTATGATTGCCCCAGCAATTTTGAGTTTCCAGGCAGTAGTTTAGAGAGATTGAACCCAGGTGGAATTCTCCTTGATAGGAAGAGATAGAGTTGAGAATCCAAGGAGACCAAGGGCAGCCAGAGTTTGCAGGACAGCACACCAGAAAGGACGGAGCTGCATAGAGAGGGAACTCTAGAGATCTGCGAAGGGTCTTCCTCCAATATTTTGACCCATGTACATGCAAAAGGATCCTCTCTGAGGCTGGGGAAAAGACCATCCCAAGAATTAGAGAGACCAGTAGTTAGAACTCTCACAAGACATGGTTGGAATAGTGCCTCCTTCCACCATTCAGACTGGAAAACTTCATCATTCATGGGGCACTGATTATGGTACGCAGAAGAGTGTTGCCTCAGTGCTGAGGAATTAGCCCAAGACTAAATCAGAAGCCATGGTATCTCCTAACAAATCTATGAAGCAAGACCCAAAAGGATGACTCTGTTGTCACAAAACCTAACAGCATCCCGGATCAATGTTCAAAAATATTTATCAGAATATAAATATATCAGATAAGAGTCTCAATGTTTGGCATCCAGTTAAAGATTATCAAGTATGAAAAGAAGGAGGAAAATTTGACTCATAATAAGGAGAAAAAGTAGTAAGTGGAAACCAGCCCAGAACTGATAGAGATGCTAGAATTATCATGCAAGGATATTAAAGTGCCTATTATTATAATCATATTTCATATGTTCAAAGAAGAGAAAATGTGTAATATTAGAAATCTAAAAATAGACATAAATACATATACAGCAGAAGTGATAAAGATAATAAAAACATATAATGAAAAACAAGAAAAAATTGAAAACTCAGACAAAACAAATTTCTGGAAAAAAGAATACTACAATTCAATCAAGAAGTAGAAAACATTTTGCCCAATAAATGAAATGTGCAGACTCTGGAAAAGATTATCCGGGTTCTCTCACTTATATCTATGTGACCTTAAACCTGAGAGTTGTTCTGAAAAGCTAAATGAGTCTATATAGGTTAAGTATTTAGAATAGTGCCTAGTGGGCCAGGCACAGTGACTCATGCCTGTAATCCGAGCACTTTGGCAGGCAAAGGCGGGAGGATCACTTGAGCTCAGGAGTTCGAGACCTGCCTGGGCCACATGGTGAAACCCCATGATATGGTTTGGCTGTGTCCCCACCCAAATATCATCTTGAATTCCCATGTGTTAGTGGGAGGAGCCAGGTGGGAGGTGACTGAATTATGGGGGTGGGTCTCTTCCTCCACTGTTCTCATGATAGTGCATGAGTCTCATGAGATCTCATGGTTTTAAAAGGGGGAGTTTCCCTGCACAAGCTCTCTTTTTACCTGCTGCCATCTATGTAAGATGTGACTTGCTCCTCCTTGCCTTCTGCCATGATTGTGAGGCTTCCCCAGCCATGTGGAAGTGCGAGTTCTTCATTAAAACTCTTTCCTTTTTAAATTGCCCAGTCTTGGGTATGCCTTCACCATCAGCATGAAAACGGACAAATACACCCCATCTCCACCAAAAATACCAAAAAAAACAAAAAAATTAGCTGGGCATGGTTGCAAGTGCCTGTCATCCTAACTACTCAGGAGGCTGAGGTAGGAGAAGCCCGGGAGGCAGAAGCTGCAGTGAGCCAAGATCACGCCACTGGACTCCAGCCTGGGCAACAGCTGAGACCCTGTCTCAACAACAACAACAACAACAAAACAAACAAGCAAAAACAAAAATAGTGCCTAGGAAATAATAAAAACTATATAAGGGTTAGCTCCTTAATATTATTATTGAAGACAGTCATGCCTAGCATAAGGAATTCCACTTCTTGGTACAAAAATCTAAAGAAACTCTTATACCTGTACAGCTACCATCATAGGAAAGTCTCAAAAACAGCATAAACTGGAAAAAAATTCAGAAACATATGCACAATATGATTCCATATGTAAAGTTAAAAATGTAATATAGTAACTTAGATATCTTTGAATTCATATATATATGATAAAGAAATATATAATATAGATATAAAAATCAGACTAGTTTACATTTAGGTTTAAAAGAGAAATGGATAGAAGGATACACAACAAATTTCAATCATCAGTGTACAATTTTGTATATTACAAAATTATTGATGGCATATGTGGCAAAATGTGATAATTTATTAAAACTGAGTGGTAGAAAGGAGTATGTATTATAAAATCTTATTCTCTATCTTTATGCTTTAAATATTTCATAATTAAAAAAATTTCCTGTCTAGTAGGAACACTTGAGTATTAAAATTGAAAGGGTCAGGAATTACAGACAAAATTAATGACAGGAGACCAACATCCAGACATATCTTGATGAAACTTTTGAATCTCAAGGATAAAAAATATTAGAACCATCCAGGCAGCAAAAAGAAGTCACCTATCAAAGCAAAAACTCTTAGGGGACCTCAAACTTCTCTGCACACTAAATGGCAGAAGTCATAAGGCAAAGTCTACAGAGTTTTTAGGGCAGAATAAGTACAAAAATTTCATTCCCAAACTAGCTAGTGATTGTGTGTGAAGGAAACCAGAATATTCTTAATCATTCAAGGACCTGGAAATTATAGCAACCAGAAATTCTTCCTGAAATATCTAGTCAGATATAGTTCAGCTATCTGAGAGATCAATCCAAATAAAAAACCTGTTAAGTCATGGTAGAAAAAAATTAAACATGAACAGTTTAACTGTCTATATAATGTAGAGTTAAAACTAAATAGTTGTGATAAAGCTTAATACAATGTAATAAAATTGGACAAGTAGATTCATATTCCAAAAATTTAATAATATTATATATGTAATTCACAAAATCATCAAAAAGTATAAACAAAATTTCTAAAATGTTGGAGTTTCTCATACAGCAGGGAGAAAAGAGACACATCTATTTGGGGACAGTTGCAGTGTCTTTTTATTTTTAATTCTCAGTAAATAATTTAATATATAATCAGAACTTCCAATTTTATCTCCAATATGTAAAGAGCTTAGACATCATTACTCCTGTATTAGTCAAGATTCTCCAGAGAAATATAACCAATAATATGTGTGTGTATGTGTATGTATCAAACATATATACATATGGCCAAGTACAGTGGCTCATGCCTATAAACCCAGCACTTTCGGAGGCCAAGGCAGGCAGATCACGAGGTCAGGAGATCGAGGCCATCCTGGCTAACACAGTGAAACCCCGTCTCTACTAAAAAAATACACAAAAAAATTAGCCGGGCATGGTGATGGGTGCCTGTACTCCCAGCTACTTGGGAGGCTGAGGCAGGAGAATGGCGTGAACCCAGGAGGCAGAGCTTGCAGTGAGCCGAGATCATGCCACTGCACTCCAGCCTAAGCGACAGAGCAAGACTCCATCTCAAAAAAAAAAATATATATATATATAATATATATGTATACACACACACACACACAAAGAGAGAAACAGAAACAAAGAGTGATTTATTATAAAGATTTATCACATAATTATTAAGACTGAGAAGCCACAAAATCTGCAGCAGGAATTGGCAAGCTAGAAACTCAGGAGAGCCAATGATATAGCTCCAGTCTGAAGGCCAACAGGTTAGCAACGCAGAAAGAGTTGATGTTTCAGTATGATGGGAAGAAGAAGCCCACATCCCAGTTAGAAGTTAGACAGACAGGAAGGATTTTCTTACTTGGGGGAGGTCTAGTTTTTTTTCTATTCAGGCATTCCACTAATTGGAGAAGATTCTCCTACATGAGTGAGGGGAATCTGATTTATTCATTCTGCTAGTTTAAATGTTAATCTCATCCCAAAACAACCTGACAGAAACTCCCAGACTAATGTTTGACCAAATATCTGGGCACTGTGGGGCTCAGTCAAGTTCACATATTCAATTAACCATTGCAACTCCCTTTTTTGCAACAAGATAAAGTTGAACGAACTGAAAATTATGACATTTCTTGGACCCATCCGAGAACTGAATTTGCAGGACAAACCGACACTTTGAAATTTGGAAAGACAGGTGAATGTAGACAGCCTGGATCTGCTTAACTGAGGCAGAAGCCACTGGAGTTATAAACTGGTATGAATGCTTACATGATAATTTTCATGAATTGCTGGAGGCTGAGTGTGGACTCACATGACAATGAGAAAGTCCTGGAAGCTATGGTCTTAGAAGACTCCTACATTTTTCTGGGCTTTACTTTTAGAAACCCTACCAGATGAAGTCCAAGAAAGAGCTGTTTATGGCTCTAGCAGGGAGAAGAGAAGAGTAAGCCTTGAAATGCACCCAGAGCTTTCTCCATAACAAAAGCCTACTCTCCAGGTTAAAAGAATTCATCAGAGCCTATTCAAGAGCCATGGGGGAGGACATTCCTCTCATTCCAGTCTCCTCTAGCTCTTCTGTCACATCTATGGGAAGACAGGAGTAATCTATATGTTACAGGATGATTTGTGTCTCCCTATAATTCACAATGTTCCCCCCAAATTTATATGTTGAACTCCTAACCCCTAGTACCTTAGAATGTGGCTGTATTTAGAGATAGAGTCTTTGAAGAGGTAATTAATTTAAAATGAGGTCATTAGGGTGGGCCCTAACCAACATTACTGATGTCCTTAAAGGAAAAGATTAGGGCACTGACACACACAAAAGAAAGATACAGGAAGAAGATGGCCATCTATAAGTCAAGGAAACAGGCTCCACAAGAAACCAACCATGCCCACACCTTGATCTTAGACTTCCAGGCTCCAGAATTTCAAAAAATAAATCTCTGCTGTTTAAGCCATCCAGTCTGTTTTACCTTGTTATGGCAACCCTGGTATCTTAGTTTGTTTAGTGTTGCTGTAATAGCATGCTATATACAGGGCAATTTATAATGAACAGGAATGTAATTGGCTCACAATTCTGGAGGCTAGGAAGTCCAATATCAAGGTGCCAGCATCTTGTGAGGGTCTTCATGCTGTGTCATCCCACGGCAAAGGCAGAAGAGCAAGAGCGGTAATAAGAGATCAAACTCACAGCTTCAAGTGCTTTTATCATTGGCGTGAATTTACTTATGAAAGTGGGGCCCTTATGCCCTAAACATCTCCCTTTAGGCCTCACCCCCCCAATGCTGTTGCTTTGGGGATTAAGTTTCCAACACTTGCTTTTGGCGGGACACACTTAAACAATATTACATACAAGCTAATACCCTATACCAAAAACAACAGCAGCAGCAACAACAACAACAACAAACAACCTTGTGGAAGTCACAAGCCAGAGACATTGGCCTACTATAAGGCTGATATTTAATTGGAATATTATAGAATAATCCTTCTCTTCCATATTTATTCCCACACCAATAGGACTCCCATATACTAACAGTAGATTACAGCTAAAAGTGCTCCAAGACAGATTCTTTCTGAGTAGGAGTACTTAGAGATACACAAAATCAAGAAGGAAGAGGAATTTGCAATATCTAGTATATAAAGCTACAGAAAACATGAAGCCCAATCCAAACCAGATGAATAAAAATCTCACACTTAAGACTTATTGACCTCAATTCCTATCACACAAAACATCAGAATCAGACTCAGATTTGACACAAAATAGGAGTTATTACACAGGCAATTTAAAATAACTATGATGAATATGCTAACGGCTCTAATGGTGGCTCATGCCTGTAATCACTTTGGGAGGCTGAGGTGGGTGGATCACCTGAGGTCAGGAGTTTGAGACCAGCCTGGCCAACATGGCGAAACCCTGTCTGCACTAAAAAATACGAAAATTAGCCAGGATGGTGCCCCACACTTGTAATCCCAGCTACTGGGGAGGCTGAGGCAGGAGAATCACTTGAACCTGGGAGGCAGAGATAGCAGTGAGCTGAGATCATGCCACTGCACTCCAGCCTGGGCAATAGAGCAAGATGCTGTCAGGAAAAAAAAAAAAAAAAAAAAAAAAAAGGCCTGTAATATAAGCAGAGCAATGGAAGTTTTAAGAAAAGCATGAAAGGAAATGCTACAAATAAAAATACTGCACTGAAATAAAGAATACCTTTGATAGTCTCTCTAACACTTAGAAGTCTAAAGAATTAGTGAGCGGTCAATAGAAACTTTTAAAACTAAAATGCAAAAGGAAAGAAAGGATAAAGAAATAGATGACAATATCCAAGAACTATGGGACAATTTGAAAGATCTAGTATATGCATAATTGGAATACTAGAAGAAGTATCAAATGAAGCAAAATGAATTTTGAAGTAATAGCTGAGAACTTTTCAGAATTTTGGACTACACAAATTCAAAAATTTTTTAAATTTAAATTTAAAAATTTTAAAAAAGAAACCCACTGGGCATATTATATTCAAATTGCAGGAGACTAAAAACCAAAATAAATTCTTGAGACAGGAAAAATACACCTTACCTCTAGAAGAACAAGGTAAGATTTACAGCAGATTAAAAAAAAAATCAGAAATCATGCAAGCAAGGAGAAAGTAGAGTGAAGTAGTGACTGTTGAAAACAAAAGTACCAACCAGAATTCCAGCAAAATTATCCTTCAAAGGGAGGCATAAATAAGACTCTCAGACAATCAAAAACTGATGGAACTCACCACTAATAAATTCCCTCCGTTTCTGATTCCCTGAGATGAAATGGGGAAAAGTTTTCTTTGTAAAGAAGGAAAATGACACATGTCAAAAATTTGGATATACGTGACAAAAGGCATAGCATAATAGAAAAAATAAAGGCAAAATATTTTATTTTTCTTATTAATTGATGTAAGAGCTAACTCTGTTTAAAATAACAATAGTAACAACGTATTGGGATAGTACAGCATATTGACAGGTGAAATGAATGACAGCAATGTCACAAGAAACAGGAGGAAGGGATTAGGGATGCTCTACTATAAGGAACCTGACCTATACTTGAAGCAGAATAGTGTCCCTTGAAGGTGGACTTAGATTAGTAAAAGTGAATATTGTAAATTCTAGGGAAAGCATTAAAAACATTTTAAAGAAGGATAAGTGATATGCTAAGAAAGAGACAAAACAAGACAACGTACAATGCTCATTTAAAACCAGAAAAGGCAGAAGCCCTGCCAATCAATACAAAACAGTTGCAAACATGATTGCTATTAATTCAATTACATCAATAACTACTTTAAATATAAGTGCTATAAATACATTAAAAGAGAATATCAAAGTAATTACAGACAATAAGAACAATTCATAATTCTACGTTGTCTATAACAAATCCACTTTAAATATAAAGGCATGTTAAAAGTAAAGGGACAGGGAAGGATATACCATACTGACAGTAATGAGAAGAAAACTGGAGTAGCTATATTACTTTCAGACAAAATAAACTTAACAATAAATGACCGCCAAACTGATAAAACTGAACGGAGAAATAGGCATATTTCTTTCTTTCTTTCTTTTCTGAAATGGAGTTTTGCTCTTGTTGCCCAGGCTGGAGTGCAACGGCGCAGTCTCAGCTCACCGCAACCTCCGCCTCCCGGGTTCAAACGGTTCTCCTGCCTCCGCCTCCCAAGTAGCTAGGATTACCTGTAATTTTAGTAGAGACAAGGTTTTACCATGTTGGCCAGGCTTGTCTCAAACTCCTGACCTCAAGTGATCCGCCTGCCTTGGCCTCCTAAAGTGCTGCAATTACAGGCTTGAGCAACCGTGCCTGGCCAAAATAGGCACATTTCAACATCCCCTGTCAATAACTGGTAGATTACTTCCAGTACTGTGTTGAATATGACTCCTTGCGTGTTTTAGTAGCTTGTGTCTGTCAAGGAGTTGGTCTGTATCACCTATCAACACCCACTGTCAGTGACCGATAGATCATATAGGCAGAAAACCAGTGAAGATAGAGTTGAACTGAACAACACTATTAATCAACTTGAACTTATTGACAATTATAGTATACTCAATTTTAAAAAGAGCAGAATACACATTTTCTTCAAGTTATCATGGAACATTGACCAAGATAGATGACATTCTGGACCATAGAATATATCTTTTAAAACTTATAAATCATACAGTGTTCTCAGATAACAGTGAAATTAAGCTAGAAATCAACAGAAAGATGGCTTGATAATCCTCAAACATCTGAAAATTAAAGAACACACTCCCAAATAACACATAAAGAAGCCTCAAAAGTAATTTTTAAATATTTTAACTAAATGTAAATAAAGTATAACTTAACTTTGTGGGATGCAGCAAAGATAATGCTTAAAAGAAAACACACAGCATTAATTGCATATAGAATGGAAAAAATGCTCTAAAAGCAATAATATAAGCTTATATCTTAGGAAACTAGAAGAAGAAGAGCAACTTAAGCCTAACCAAACATAAGAAAAGAAATAATAAAAATTAGAGCAGAAATCAGTAAAAATAAATATAGGAAAACAACACGTAAATTTAATCAAACTAAAAACTGGTTCACTGAAACAATAAAATTGATAAACTTCTACCAAAGCTAACAGAAAAAAAAGACACAATTTAGAAATGAAAGAGAGGTCATTAATACTGATCCCATAAACATTAAAAGGAAAATAAAGAAAACTATGACAAACTCTATTCCCATAAATTTAACAATTTAGATGAAATAGACCATTTCCTTGAGAAACACAAACTACCAAAACACACAAACAGTCCTATTCAACACAGTACTGGAAGTGCCAGCCAAAACACTCAGGCAAGAGAAAGAAATAAAAGGCATCCAAATAGGAAAATAAGAAGTAAAACTCTCTCTTCTCATTGACAATATGATTCTATACTTTAAAAACCCTAAGAACTCCGCAAAAACGCTATTAGAACTGATAAACTATCTTAGCAAGGTTTCAAGATACAAAATCAATGTACAAAAGTCAGTAGCATTTCCATACATGAAAAGTGTCCAAGCTAAAAGACAAATCAAGAATTCAATCCCATTTACAATAATCACACAAAAAATAAAATACCTAGGAAAACATCTCACCAAGGAGGCAAAATATCTCTACAAGGACTACAAAACACTGTTTAAAGAAACCATAGATGACACAAACAAATGGAAAAATATTTTAAAATGGCTATACTGCCCAAAGCAATCTATAGATTAAATGCTATTCCTATCAAACTATCAATGTCATTTTACATAGAATTGTAATTAAAAAAAGAAAAACTATGGTAAAATTCACATGAAACCAAAAAAGACTTTGAATAACCAAAGCAATCCTAAGCAAAAAAAAAAAAAAAAAAAAAAAAAAAAAAACCAAAGCCGGAGGCATCACAGTACCCAATTTCAAGCTATACTACAGGGCTACAGTAACCAAAATAGCTTGATGCTGGTACAAAAACAGACATATAGACAAACACGTTAGAGAACACAGAAATAAAGCCACACACCTACAGCTATCTAGTCTTTGACAAAGTTGACAAAAATAAAAAATGGGGAAAGAACTCCCCATTTAATAAATGGTGTTGGGATAGTTGGTTAGCCACATGCAAAAGACTGAAACTGGACTTCTACCTTTTACCATATATAAAAATTAACTCAAGATGGATTAAAGATTTAAAAGTAAGACCTAAAACTGTAAGAATCTTGGAAGTAAACCTAGGAAAACACCATCCTGGACAAAGGCTCTGGCAAAGATTTTATGACTAAGACTCCAAAAGCAATTGCAAGAAAAACAAAAATTGTAAGCCGAACCTAACTAAACCAAAGAGCTTCTACACATTAAAAGAAACTAACAACAGAGTAAACAGACAACCTAAGAACGGGAGAAAATATTTGCAAACTGTCCCTCCAACAAAGGTCTAATATCCAGAATCTATAGGAACTTAAACAAATCAGCAAAAACAAATAACCCCATTAAAAAATGGGCAAAGGACATGAACAGATAGCTCTCAAAAGAAGACATACAAGCGGCCAACAAACATTATGAAAAAAAGCTCAACATTGCTCATCATCAGAGAAACGCAAATCAAAACCACAATGAGACAGCATCCATATCAGTCAGAACAGCTATTATTAAAAAGTCAAAAACCAATGGATGCCAGTAAGGCTGAACAGAAAATGGAACCCTTATACACTGTTGGTAGGAATGTAAATTAGCCGGTGGGGAAAGGAGTTTAGAGATTTATCAACGAACTTACAACATAAACTACCATTTGATCCAGCAATCCCACTACTTAGTATATATCTAAAACAAAACAAATCATTCTACCATTAAGACACATGCATTTGTGTGTTCACTGCAGCACTGTCATGATAGCAAAGATACGGAATCAACTGGATGCCCATCAATGGTGGAAAGAATTAAGAAAAGATTGTACATGTACACTATAGAATACTACAGAGTCATAAAAAATTATATCCTTTGCAGCAACATGGATGCAGCTGAAGGCCATTATCCTAAGCAACTTACCACAGGAACAGAAAACCAAATATTGCATGTTCTCACTTATGCATGGGAGCTAAACAGTGAGTATTCATGAACATGAAGATAGGAATAACAGACACTGGAGACTACTAGAAGGGGAGGGAGGATGGGATCAAGGGTTGAAAAGCTACCTATTGGGTACCATGCTCAGTACCTAGGTGATGGGATCATTCGTACCTCAAACCTGAGCATTACACAGTATACCGAGGTAACAAAACTGCATGTGTACCCCCTGAATACAAAATCAAAGTTGAAAAAAACACACACACACGGAGAAAAACATGAATCCCTTATATCTAGTAAAAAAGCTAATAATTAATACCTTAAAAAATAGTACCATACCCATATGGGTTCACTGGTAAATTCTACCCCACATTTATGAAAGAAATTATACCAAACTAATTCTTCACAATCCCTTCCAGAAACTAGAAGCAGGAGGAACACTTCCTAATTTACTCTATGAGGCCAAAATTACCCTAATACCAAAACCAAATAAAAACAGAACAAGAAAGGGCCAGACATGGTGGTTCATGCCTGTAATCCCAGCACTTCTGGAGGCCAGGGCAGGATGATTGCTTGAAGCCAGGAGTTCAAGACCAGCCTGGGCAACATAGTGAGCCCCTGCCTCTACAAAAAAAATAAAAAATAAAAAAATTAACTGGACATGGTGGCACACACCTGTAGTCCCAGATACTTGGGAGGCTGAGGTGGATCACTTGAGCCCAGGAGGTCAAGGCTGCAGTGACCTGTAATCACGCCACTGCACTTCAGCCCTGGGGAGACCCTGTCTCAGAAAAAAAAAAAAAAAAAAGTGGGGGAAAGAGAGATCAGACTGCTACTGTGTCTATGTAGAAAAAGGAAGACATAAGAAACTCCATTTTGATCTGTACTAAGAAAAATTCTTCTGCCTTGAGATGCTGTTAATCTGTAACCCTAGCCCCAACCCTGTGCTTGCAGAAACATGTGCTATATTGACTCCAGGATTAATGGATTTAGGGCTGGGCAGGATGTGCTTTGTTAAAAATGTGTTTGCAGGCAGTATGCTTGGTAAAAGTCATTGCCATTCTGCATTCTCGAGTACCCAGGGACACAATGCACTGCGGAAGGCCGCAGGGACCTCTGCCCAAGAAAGCCTGGGTATTGTCCAAGGTTTCTCCCCACCGAGAGAGCCTGAGATATGGCCTCATGGGAAGGGAAAGCCCTGACCTTCCCCCAGCCCGACACACATAAAGGGTCTGTGCTGAGGAAGATTAGTGAAAGAGGAAGGCCTCTTTGCAGTTGAGATAAGAGGAAGGCATCTGTCTCTTGCTCATCCCTGGGAATGGAATGTCTCGGTGTAAAACCCGATCATACATTCTATTAACTGAGATAGGAGAAAACTGCCTTATGGCTGGAGGTGAGACATGCTGGAGACAATACTGCTCTTTACTGCATTGAGATGTTTGTGTAAAGTTAAACATAAATCTGGCCTATGTGCACATCCAGGCACAGCACCTTTCCTTAAACTTATTTTTGACACAGAGTCCTTTGTTCACATGTTTTCCTGCTGACCCTCTCGCCACCATTAACCTATAGTCCTGCCACATCTCCCTTGCCAAGATAGTAGAGATAGTGATCAATAAATACTGAGGGAACTCAGAGACTAGTGCTGGTACAGGTCCTTACTTGCTGAGCACCAGTCCCCTGGGCCCACTTTTCTTCCTCTATGCTTTGTCTCTGTGTCTTATTTCTTTTCGCAGTCTCTCATCTTCACCTTGTGAGAAATACCCACAGGTATGGAGGGGCAGGCCCCCTTCAAAAAAAAAAATACAAGAAAGGAAAACTACAAACCAGTATCTCTTATAGGTATAAACATAAAAATACTAAAAAAATTAACAAACAGAACCTATAATGTATAAAATAATTATACACCATGACCAATTGTGATTTATTTCGTGTAAGCAAGGTTGGTTCAACATTTGGAAATCAATCAGTGTAATTTACCACATCAATAGCCTAAAGAAGAAAAAGCAAATGATCACATCAATTAGCAAAGAAAAAGCATTATATAAAATCCAACACTCATTCATAATAAAATTCTCTAACTAAGAATAGAGAGAAATTTACTCCACTTGACAGGGAACACCTATACAGAATCTATACACATCAAACCTACTGATGAGAAATTGGATGCTTTCTCGCTAAGATCAGAATAATACAAAGATGTCCCCCCTCACCACTTCTATTCTGTATTGTACTGGAAGTCCTACCTGTGCAATAAGACAAGAAATAAAAATTTTAGAATATGGAGAATCAGCCAGGCACCATGGTGCATGCCTGTAGCTCCAGCTACTACAGAGACTGAAATGGGAGGACTACTTGAGCCCAGGAGATTGAGACCAGCCTGGACAACACAGTATGGCATCATCTCTCAAACAAAAACAAACAAAAAACCCAAGAAAACAAAAAATATACAGACTCAGAAGGATAAAACTATCTTTGCTCACAGATGCCATAATTGGAAAAAGTGTAAAAAATCCAAAGAAAATAGTCTAGACGTAATAAGTGATTATAACATGGTCTTAGGATACTAGATTAATACATAAAACTCAATGGTTTTCTTATATACCAGCAATTAACAGTTTGAATTGAGAATAAAAACACGATCTCATTTACAATAGTACCAAAAAATGAAATATTTATGTACAAATCTAACAAAATATCTACAAGATCAATAAGCAGAAACTATAAAACTCTGATGAATAAAACAAAGAAGATTTAAGTAAATGGATGTTCTTTGTTCATGGATTGAAGACTGAGTATTGTAAAGTTGTAATTTTTTTCCAACTTGATCTATAAATTCAGCTCAATCTCCATCACAGTCTGAGCAGGCTATTTTGCAGACATCAACAAATTGATTCTAAAATATATATGGAACATCAACTACTTAAAATAGCCAACACAATCTTAAGAAGAAGAACAAAGTTGGAAGACTCACAATACTTCAATTTCAAGACTGATTATAAACCTACAGTAATCAAAACAGTGTAGTATTAGTGAAAGAGGAGACACATAGATAAATGCAACAACATAGACAGTGCATACATAGACCCACAAATATAAATTTTTGAGAAAAGAGCTAAGACAATTCAATGGAGATAGAATAGCAGCTTTATTCATAATGGCCAGAGGTGAAAACAATCAAATGTTCATGAACATTTGCGATGTCTTCATACAAAGGAATACAGCTTAATATTGAAAAGAAGTGAACTACTTGCATTTCCAGCAACATGGGTGAATCTAAAGATATCATGCTGAGCCAAAGAATCCAGACACAAAAGAGTATTACATCATACTATATGATTCCATTTATGTGACATTTTAAAACAGGCCAAAGGAATCTATAACAAAATGATTTAGAAAAGTTTTGTCTCTAGGTAAAGAGGGGTTGACTGGGAAGGACTGGAGAAAAATGTCTTAGGTGACAGAAATGTTCTATATCTTAATAGAAGTATGGGTTATGGAAGCCCTAGCAAGAGCAATCAGGCAAGAGAAAGAAAGAAAAGGCATCCAAATAGGAAGAGAGGAAGTCAAACTATCTGTCTTTGCAGTCAATATGATTGTGCATCTAGAAAACCCTGTAATCTCTGCCCAGAGGCTCCTAGATCTGATAAACAACTTCAGCAAAGTTTCAACATACAAAATCAATCTATAAAAATCAGTAGCATTTCTATATACCAATAACATCCAAGCTCAGTACCAAATCAAGAATGCAATTCTATTCACACCTATCAGGCACTATGCTCACTGTCTGGGTGATGTACTAATATGTACCCCAAACCCAATGACACAAAAAGAATAAAATACCTAGGAATACAGCTAACCAGAGAGGTGAAGGACATCTACAGTGAGAACTGCACAATACCATTGAAAGAAATCAGAGATGACACAAATGGAAAAACATTTCATGCTCGTGCATAGGGAGAATCGATATTGTTAAAATGGCCATACTGCTCAAAGCAATTTATAGATTCAATGCCACTTCTATCAAACTACCAATGTCATTTTTTATAGAATTAGAAAAAAACCTATTCTAAAATTCATATGGAACAAAAAAAGAGCCTGAATAGCCAAAGCAATCCTAAGCAAAAAGAAGAAAGCTGGAGGCATCACACTACCCAACTTTAAACTATACTCTAAGGCTACAGCAACTAAAACAGCATGGTACTGGTACAAAAGCAGACACGTAGACCAATGGAACAGGTTAGAGAATGCAGAAATCAAGCCACATACCTACAACCATCTGATCTTCAACAAAATCAACAAAAACAAGCAATGAGAAAAGGACTCCCTGCTCAATAAATGGCGCTGGGATAACTGGCTAGCCATATGCAGAAGACTGAAACTGGACCCTTTCCTTTTACCATACACAAAAATCAATTTAAGGTGGATTAAAGACTTACCTGTAAAACCTAAAACTATTAAAAACCCTAGAAGAAAACCTAGGAAACACCATTCTGGACATAGGCCCTGGCAAAGATTTCATGACAAAGACTCCAAAAGCAATTGCAACAACAAAAAAAAATTGTTAAGTGGAACCTAATTAAACCAAAGAGCTTCTGCACAGCAAAACAAACTATCAACACGGTAAATAGATAACCTAAGAATGGGAGAAAATATTTGCAACCTATCCTTCCAACAAAGGTCTAAAATCCACGATCTGTAAGGAACTTAAACAAATCAGCAAGAAAAAAACCCAAGTAACCCCATTTAAAAAAAAATGGGCAAGGCCAGGCGTGGTGGCTCATGCTTGTAATCCCAGCACTTTGGGAGGCTGAGGCGAGTGGATCATGAGGTCAGGAGATCGAGACCATCCTGGCTAACACAGTGAAACCCCGTCTCTACTAAAAATACAAAAAATTAGCCGGGCGTGGTGGCGGGTGCCTGTAGTCCCAGCTACTTGGGAGGCTGAGGCAGGAGAATGGCATGAACCCAGGAGGCGGAGCTTGCAGTGAGCCGAGATGGCGCCATTGCACTCCAGCCTGGGCGACAGAGCGAGACTCCCTCTCAAACAAACAAACAAACAAACAAAAATAGGCAAAGAACATAAACAGATACTTCTCAAAAGAAAACATACAAGTGGCCAACAAGCATATGAGAACACTCAACATCACTAATTATTAGAGAAATGCAAATCAAAACCACAATGAATACCATCTCCTGCCAGTCAGAATGGCTACTATTAAAAATTAAAAAAAAAAAAATGCTGGCCATGTTGCAGAGAACAGGGAACATTCGTATACTGCAGGTGACAGTATAAATTAGTTCAGCCACTGTGGAAAGCAGTTTGGCAATTTCTCAAAGAACTTAAAACAGAGCTACCATTTGACCCAGCAATCCCACTTGTGGGGGTATACCCAAAGGAATATAAATTCTTCTACCATAAAGAGATATGGACATGTATGTTTACTGCAGCACTGTTCACAATAGCAAATATATAGAATCAAACTACATGCCCATCAGAGGCGAACTGAATAAAGAAAATATAATACATACACACCATGGAATACTACACACCCATAAAAAAGAAAGAAATCATGTTATTTGCAGCAACATGGATTCAACTGGAAGCCAATCTCCCAAGAAAACTAATGCAGGCATAGAAACCCACATAGCACGTTTTCATTATAAGTGTGAGTTAAATCTTGAGTACACATGGACACAAACAAGGGAACAATAGACACTGGGACATACTTGAGAGTGGAGGGTGGGAGGAGGGCTAGGGCCAAAAAACAACCTATCAGGCACTATGTCTGTGTGATGGAATAATCTGTACACCCAAAGCGCAGTGACACACAATTAACCCATGTAACAAACCTGCACATGTACCCTCTGAACCTAAAACAAAAGTTAGAAGGGAAAAAAAAGCCTGGGTTACATGAGAATATGCATTTGTCAAAACTCATTGAATTGTATACTTAAGATCTGTACATTTCACCACATATAAATTTTACCTTTTGAAGGAACTATAGACAAAAGGCAACGTCAGCGTACCCATCTTGGGTTAGCCTATGAAATAACTACCCTCAAATCATATTTTGATTCTCTCTTCAATTCCATACTTGCCTCCAAATACAACTTAAGACAATTTACAATAAGTTGTAGATCAAAAGAATAATTTAAATTTCAATAATTAGCGTTTTGAGTGTTTCCTATGAACCAGCACTATGGCCAAATGCATATGAAACAAAAATTAGTAACCCACTTTACACATAAAATGCATATGAAACAAAAATTAGTAACCCACTTTACACATAAGGAAGTTAGGGCTCAGAAAGGAAACTAATTTGTTTAAGATTACTGTTAGAAAGGAGACAGCTAAAATTCCCACTGACTTCCAATATCTCTGGAGCCACTCCTAGCTAGGTGGGATGTAGCGGGAATAGAAGCCAAGGACAATAATGTATTTGAGTAGTGAATTCACCTCTGAGTTTTCAGGAATCCTGGGCAAAAGAGACACTAAAATGAGATGTGTAGCCCCTGATGCCTGATACAAGGAATCTTACCAGCTCACCAGGTGAGGTGAGCATTTTTCCGACAATAAATTCAAAGAATGTAGAACTTAGCCCATGAGTCCCTGTAGAAGAGCTGTAGAAAAATAACATGCGCGATGTATTTAAAAAATTACAGTTTTGCAGAACGCGTAGGCACATTTTTGATCTCTTTCTCACCCTTTCACCCTGACAGTCCATAAAAAACTTAAAATGTGGCCAGGCACGGTGGCTCACACCTGTAATCCCAGCACTTTGGGAGGCTGAGGTGGGCAGATCACGAGGTCAGGAGTTCGAGACCAGGCTGACGAACATAGTGAAACCCAGTCTCTACTAAAAATACAAAAATTAGCCGGGTGTGTTGGCACACGCTTGTAGTCCCAGCTACTTGGGCGGCTGAGGCAGGAGGATGGTGTGAACCTGGAAGGCGCAGGTTGCAGTGAGCAAAGATCGTGCCACTGCACTCCAGCCTGGGCGACAGAGTGAGACTACTCCGGCTCAAAAAAAAAAAAATAAACATAAAAATAAAAATAAAAAAACTTAAAATGTACTGCAGCTGCTTTGCCCAGCTAATAACATAATCTTGTTGACATGGCCTTCCTAGGACCCCAGTTCTAACACACCCTATTTCATTTATTGCAGCCCGAATTAATCAGCCTCTTAGTAATCATACTAATTGAACTATTTGTTGTGAGTTCAATCTGATCTGCTACTTAGGAAAATAAACATCTTGGTTTATCCGTGACATGTGTTCTCAAGAAATGCTTCGCTTAACACCCAGCTGTAAATCTGAGTAAAAATGAGAAGAGAAATTTCCATAGACAAATGTTTTGGCTAACTGTCTCCTTTGGCATTTCAACTGAAATCTTTTCTTTAAAAAATATAGCTGCCATTTGAACCAAGATTTTAGTTTATTCCATTTCCAATTAGCAGCTCAGCTTTGCATTGGCATTTCTACTCAGGCAGCTGCAATAGACTCATCAGGCCAAATCTGCCTTTACCAATTGCCCACACCCCAATTTTACTGATATACACAGGGGCCAGGGAGCAAAAGCTGCCCCTAGATAACCGCAATTCCAATTGTTAATGCCTCCATGAGGTGACAATGATGGCAGTAGAAATCAGTAAAAGTTTTTCAAAGAACACAGGATAACCTGTTTCTGGCTCAAGCCAAAAAGGATCTTTCTTACCTTCTGATGGTTGTTAAAGGCAATCAAACAATTGCAAATAGAAGGGGACAACAGTCTTTCCCTGCTCCCAGCATCCGGAAATCATGTCTCATAGCAAAGATACTTGGATTTTATTTCAAGAAAACTTAAAAGCTTCCTTCTAGAATAGGCATCGAATCTGTTGAGCAGGCGTCTTTGAGCTAGCAACTGGGCACTGTGATGGTTCCAGGTGCTAATCAAAAGCAAAAGCTATCATTTCCACTTCCACAGTGATGCTAGAAATATTTGCGATGACTAGATTTTGAAAAAGAAATGGATAGGCATAAATAATAGGCACATGTCTTTAGCCCAAGGCATGGGGCATTATTCTATTACTCATGTGCCCTTTTCTCCTACTTGAGGGATTGAGATTCATTTCAAAGTGTTGAGTTAGTGATCTCAGAAGAATTCTCTTCTATCCTTGGGGTGGAAGGAGGTTGTTGCACATTTCTCTTTTAGGGTGAGATGCTACATGAATACCTACAGTAGATACCCTCAGCCCTCCATAGCACTATCTAATTACTTAACATGAAAAAATTAAAGATCACTGGGTACAGTGGCTTACACCTGTAATCCCAGAACTTTGGGAGGTCAAGTTGGGAGAAATGCCTGAGGCTAGAAGTTCCAGACCAGTCTGGGCAACACAGTGAGACTCCCATCTGTACAAAAAATTTAGAAGTTACCCAGGTGTAGTGGTGCATGACTGTGTAGTCCCAGCCGCTTGAGAAGTGGAAGCAGGAGAATCACTTCAGCCCAGACGTTCAAGGGTGCAGTAAGCTATGATGGTGTCACTGCACTCCAGCCTGCATGCACAACAGAGCAAGACTCCATCACTAAAAAAGATTTTTTTAATTAAAAATTCAGTTTCTCAGTTGCACTAGCCCCATTTCCAGCGCTTTGATGGCACATAATAGAACACTTGCATCAGCACCAGCAGTCTTATATGGACAGACTTGTTCCACCTACACAAAAGTCTCCTGAAAGCATGGCACTGGACAGTTCTGGTGTCGAGTTCAAGATACGTTATAGGAGACCGTGATGCATAATAGACGCTTTAAGTCTGACTGCAAAATCACTAATGCTCAAATGGGACAGGTTGCCCCAGTATCAACATGATCACATGCACCATCCTGTTCAAAAGAAGAACCAGAGTGAAAACCTGAATCCTGACCTCAAGAAGCTTTCGACTCAAGACATCTCTCTCCCTCTTGCTTTTTGTCCATGTACCTCTCTTTATCACCCCCTCTCTTTCTCTGATTATGTTTTCCCTTGCCTGCTCATCAATGAAAGAACTGTGCGCTCATTTATGCCCTTGTAAGTAAATGACTCAATATGAGAAGACTTGCTGCTAGGTTTGAAGACAAAAGTTTTAACGCCATAAGCCTGCTCTTGAATGACTTCTTTGCATATTGTTGTAAAAATATTTCTCTTTCCCTTCTGGGAATTAATGGCATCCACAACGATACAGTGAAATCTTTGGAAATGCAGCAATATCTTGCCAGACGGATGAACTGGTAACTGTCCAAGCTCATCAAAATGCTATTGTGATGTCAAGACAGCAGCAAGACTGTTTCTGGAAAGCCTAATTACAGTGGCTGGGAGATGAGCTTGAAAGGATAAAATGCTGTCCCTAAGTAAGATAAGCAAGTGGAACTTTACAAATGCATATTCCCATCCTCCTATTCTCCTCTGTTGCCAACAGGCAGCCAAAAAGCCAGCAGGGTTCTTTCAAAGGCTGTCTTTCCATTAGGACTTCAATGGCATTGGCAAGGAAAGGTGAGACAGAAGGGCATGTAAAATGGAGCTGAATGCCACCCTGGTACCAAGTTTATTATGCTAACATACTTGTTGCAATGCTAATGGAACAGAATTCTATTTCTCTTATTTAAAATTTTCCAGCACAAATGAGGCGGTGCAGTGGGGCTGTTACATCATGTGGCTTTCTGAAAATGCTGGTGGCTTCTCTCCATTTACACCTCCTCCTCTTGCACATGGTGAGAGGACGCTTCTGCTTCTTACAAAGTGGTCCCATTTGCTTGGAAAACATCATGGGATTCAGTCAGGATTTATAACAGCCAGATTTCGTCAGGACTCAATAAAGGTAAAGACATCTTGGTCATATTCCAAATATGTTCAAGTCCTCATCTCTCCTTCTCTCACTGTTCCACAGCTACTCCACCAACACCAGGGGGTGGGAAATAGGCCACTCAACTGAAAAGAAGAATCAGAGTTAAAAGGTTTGGCTTCGGCTATTTTTTTTTCTCTAAGTTAAATTGAGTTCCACTGTGTAGTAGAAATGGCAGCAAAGGAAGATAAAGCTGGAGAAACTGGAAGAGGAAGAAAAGAGGATCCTTGTGTTTGGGAACTTTGTTATTTATTGGGGATATGGTTAAAAACAAATGGTAGACATTAAGTGTCTAATACAATGTATAACTTAAAACCAACACATATACCCATGTGCCTCTTGAATCCGTTTTTTTGTTTGTTTGTTTGTTTTTTTGACAGGGACTCACTCTGTCACCCAGCCTGGAGTGCGGTGGAGTATCATAGCTCACTGCAGCCTTGACCTCCTGGGCTCAAGTAATCCTCCTGCCTCATTAAAAAAAAAAATTATTGTGAAGACAGGGTCTCACCATGTTGTCCAGGCTGGTCTCAAACTCCTGGCCTCAAGTGATCCTCCTGCCTCAACTCCCCAAAGTGCTGGGGTTATGGGCATAAGCCACCACCCCCTGTCCACTACTCTTAATTACTACCCATCCTAAATTCAGCTAGCATCTTCTCATGACTGAATTCTATTGTCTTCTCCCAACTAGTCAACTTAGAGTCACTCTTGTTTTGCAGAGGAGAGAACTAATTTAACTTCTGCTTAAATCTCTTCAATAGTCTATCATGTTTCTAAGATAAAGACAATCTTCCTTAGCACAGTTTACAGATCCTATAAATTCTGTCCCCTCCCTATGTCTCTGGGAAGCTTCAGCTCACCCACGGGCTCCCTCAGTCCTGGCCATCTGTCAGTGTCTCTCAAGCATCAGACTCCATCCAGCTCAGGATATGTGTACATGCTTGTCTCCTCTGCCTGCATCCCTCTTTCTTCCTCCTCCACCTGTTTAATGCCAATTTCAACCTTTCTATCTTAGCTTAACAGGTACTTCATCAGAAAGCCTTTCCTAACCTAACTGGGCAAAAAGCCTCTATTATATTCTATGTGCTCTTCCTATCCTTACCTCAACTTTGTAATTGTTCTCAAGATTTCATTTTCACATTCATCTTATGAATATTGGATTACTCCTTTTTTTTCTTCAGTAGCTGTATGGGGTCAGAGGACATGTCTTTCTTGATTATCACTGCATCCATAGGGTCCACCTAGCACCTAATACCAGTAGCATCTCAAAAAGATTTTAGGCAGTAAGAAAGAAAAGAAAGAATGAAGAGAGGAAGGGAGGGAGAAGGTAGAAGGGAAGGGAGGGAGAAGGTAGGAAGGTAGGAAGGAAGGGAGGGAGAGAGGGAGGGGGAAGGGAGAGAGAGAGAGGGGGAAGGGAGAGAGAGAGAGGGGGAAGGGAGGAAAGGAAGGGGGAAGGGAAGGAGGAAAGGAAGGAAGGAATGGAGGGAAGGAAGGAAGAAAGAAATGGAGGGAGGGAGGGAAGGAAGAAGGGAAGGAAGGAAGAAAGAAATGGAGGGAGGGAAGGAAGAAAGGAAGAGGGAGGGAGAAAAGGAAGGAAGGAATGGAGGGAGGGAAGGAGGGAGGGAGAGAAGGAGCAAAGGAAGGAAAGAATAGAGGGAGAGAAGGAAAAAAGGAATGGAGGGTGGGAAGGAGGAAAGGAAGGAAGGAGGGAGGGAAGGAGGGAGGGAAGGAGAAAAGGAAGGAATGAATGGAGCTAGGAAAGGAAGGAAGGAATGGAGGGAGGGAGGGAGGCAGGGAGGGAGATGGAGGATAAGCGAAGGAATTTACCCAGACATAACAAAATGTATTTCCTAAAGTCATAGGACCCAGCACAAGCAACAGCTTCTTAATAAATAATTATGGCTTTATTTGCAGATTACAGAAAGCATGTAGCAAAGATCCAGTGACAGAAGAAAATGGTTAGTTTAAAAAAAAATGTTTCCCAGGCACACCAAAGAGCACATGAAGAAAGAGAGAAAGGTACATGTGAAGTGCATTAGCAATGGCCTAGGTGACCGTGGCTTCCTTGATTTGATGGATTTTGGTTGAGATGAACCAGACTCAGTGTGTTCTAAGACACATGGCCAAAGGCAATTGTTACATCTTTCCTTTGAGGAAACAGACATTCCTGAGTTTGCTTTCATCAGACCTCAGAGGCAAAAGGATAGACCAAACGGCATCTGCCCAAGACTTCTGGTCCCCAATTAAATTATTCAAATGGTACCAGTGAGCTTACTGAAGGATCAGGAGGAGAGTGTTAAAAATTTATGCCTTCCAAAAATTAAACAAACCGAGAAAATTTTAACTTGCCAAGTAACCTAAGCAGCATATGAAAGAGCTTAACACTTTGTCCGGTACATTATTATGTAGTAGTTACTCAATCAATGATCAAACCACTGCATGTTATAAATAATATTTTGTTTGGTGTTTGCTGAACTAAAATGATAGCAGCCCCCAGAACATTGATGGAAGTTTTGCCCCATCTCCATCCAAAACATAGTTTCTATTGTGTGAGGCTTGACCTGTTCTGGGGGATGCATGCCACTGTTTATAGTTTCTTAGCAGTTTTAGTGACACTGGGCTCTGAGTGAGATGTATGTTAGCTTGCTTTACCTAAATACTGTACTGCATGTTACATTTCTGCATTGTCAAGTTCTAAATTGCACGCACCTTGCAAAGATGAATAAAGTTTTAACTCATCATACTAAATCCATTATTAATCTTCCTATTACGGTCCATGGCTAAGGCAAAAAACTGAATATATAAAAATTTATTTAAAAAAATTAGCATCTATATGTCCCATTTAAATTCCAGCATTCAAATGAAGCATGAACTTGAATTAAATTGATTTTATAAGTAAACATGTCTAAGTTAAGAAGGATTCTAATTTATTATATTCTTGAATGCTATTTGGCAATTTTATAAAAAACATATAAAAAAATGAAGAGATGTTCCAATTTGTTTCATCATTCTTAAATGGTTAATTATAGTATAAATACCATGATCTTGTATACTGAAATAGAAAAAAAAATCCTTGGAGACATATTTAATCATTTGGATTTGGTAGTGCAATGTTTATTCATTCATTTTTAGTCCATTACAGTGTAAATTAGATTTGATTTGCTTGCTCTGATTGGCTTAATTGCCCCAGTTACAGCTGAAGTACAAATAAAATTGTAATAAATTGAACAGATGTTTAACCTACTCTACCAAGATCTTTAATAGTCAATTCCAATTGCAATTTACATTCAGCAATTTAACAAGACCCTTAGGAAACGTATTTGATTATTAAAACAAGCTGTTTGTTTCTGTGTGTGATGGAAACAAGACCATCGTGTCACGTGCTTTGACCTGGTGCAATTTTTGTGCATATTTAATTTTGTTTTATCTCGTTAGGAAAAAAAAAAAAATATATATATATATATATATATATGGCATGACTATAGAAATGAGTCTGCCGGCTTAAAAAAAATAGGCATCATATTTAAATTAATGCTAGAAGGGAAATTTTACAAGATTATAAAATATTTTATAAAGAAAGAAACAAATCCTATTGCCTTTCCTACAAGCATCTTCACTAATAGCCTCCGTGATAGCCAACGGGAAAGACTCATCTTAACAAACGCATCAATTAGAAAATAAACAAAAAATTCCACTATTCAGATTCTGCATGTCATTCACCCACTGCCCAGGTAGAAAGAAAAATATTCTTACAAAAAGTGCTTGGCATTGCACTAATGTCATCTACAACGTTTTCACTTCAATTTAATGTGGCTGCTAAGATACTGCATAACTTGTGTGTGATCCGCTCTTAGTAATCCTTGGCAGAAACTCGCACGTTGTAGCTCTTGTATTTCCTTGGAAAGAAATTTAGGATACATTCTATGTCTAGTTCTATAAACGTATAATATAAAATTCCAAAGAGATTCCTAATTATTGTACTCTGAGGCCATGTTTATGTAACAGGAAAGTTTACTAAAAAATTAAACTTGCAGTATGGATATAGAATCACTGAACTGAAAACTGAATGCCCACTGAGAATCAGCTCATCCTGGAGCCAAAACTCAAATGTCTACAGAAATCAGGGAAACAGCCTAAATGAGGGAAGATTCTAGGTGGGGACAACGGTGAACAGGAAAGCGCCATCTCCTGTAAGGGATCCATCCTACTTAGTTGCAGCCAATTGTTGCCAAGATAGAATGAAGGTGAGGGATGACAGAGATTCTGATTTTTCATGAAAATCCAGGAATCCAGATTTCTGTGAAAACTTTTTTGATTAAAAAAAATGCAACTACTTAAAAACTTTTAGAATATTTTGAATGTTAAAAAGCAACAATAAAAATCTGTGAACCAAGCATATCCCCAGTGCATGGGTTGCTATTTGGTCACTTATCTGTCCAATCCCAATATTGCACAGCTGATGACTGTGAGGCCTAAAATAGTTCAAGTAATCATTATACCTTAGCGATAAAACCAGAAACTAGAACCCCTGCCCCTAGGTAGTTAAAACCACCCACTTGGGTTCAGATCTCAATTATGATGCAACATAGCTACACAACCTTTAGCATATTACTTAATCTCTCTGACCCATTTGTAAAACAGAGATAGTAATATCACCTATAGCATAAGTTTCTTGAGGAGATAGTGTAAGATATGAGATAATGTCTAAGGAGCACCTAGAATGCCTGGTGCCTAACAAGCATTCAATACATCGAAATTACAATCATTGCCATCAGCATTATCATACTAGATCTTTCTGAGAAAAAAAAAAAGCAAGAAATAATCTTGATGATAAAGCCCAATCTCTTGAAAAGGACATTTCATTTAAAACCTACTGTTTTGTGTGGCAATCCCTCAAAGTGCAAAAAACAGAATGACCATTTGACCCAGCCCAATCCCATTACTGGGTATATAAACAAAGGAATATAAATGATTCTATCATAAAGACACATGCACGCATATTTTTAATACAGCACTATTCACAATAGCAAAGACATGCAATCAACCTAAAAGTCCATCAGTGACAGACTGGATAAAGACAATGTGGTAGATACACACCATGGAACACTATGCAGTCATAAAAAAGAATGAGATCTGGCTGGGCGCTGTGGCTCACGCCTATAATCCCGGCATTTTGGGAGGCCAAGGTGGGCGGATCACAAGGTCAGGAGTTCAAGACCAGCCTGGCCAACATGGTGAAACCCCGTCTCTACTAAAAATACAAAAATTAGCCGGGCATGGTGGTAGGTGCCTGTAATCTCAGCTACTCAAGAGGCTGAGGCAGGAGAATTGCTTGAATCCAGGAGGCGAAGGTTGCAGTGAGCCGAGATCCTGCCACTGTACTCTAGCCTAGGTGACAGAGCAAGACTCCAACTCGAAAAAAAAGAATGAGATCATGTCTTTTGCGGAAACATGGATGGAGCTGGAAGCCATTCCCTAGCAAAGTGACACAGGAACAGAAAACCAAATAGTATATGCTCTCACTTACAAGTGGGAGCTAAATGATGAGGACTCATGGACACAAAGAGGGGAATAACAGACAGTGGGGACTGTTTGAGGGTGGAGGGTGAGAGAAGGAAGAGAATCAGAAAAAGTAACTATTGGGTGCTAGTCTTAGTGCCTAGGTGACAAAATAATCTGTAAAACAAGCCCCGGTGACATAAGTTTACCTATATGACATACCTGCACATATATCCCTGAATCTAAAATAAAAGTTTAAAAAATAACAAAATCTACTGCTTTGATTGTCCTTAAGATTCTTCCAAAAAATAATAAAAATAAAATCTATGTTCATTTTTATTGTAAGCGTTAGAGTGAGAAGAGAAAGAGGAATGATATGAAGGGAGAGAGAGGAGTAAGGGTGAGGCTAAGGGGATGTTCCTAGGAAGCACTGTGTGCCTTATGAATCCCATTTTCAGTAAATTCTGGAGCCTTGACCAAACACTATTTCCCCTCCCCGAATCCTCAACACCTGTTACATGGATGACAACAAGGAACTACTATTCTGGGGAAAAGAGGTTCATTTTTCTTAGTAGATGTTTGCATTCACGGTAGACAACATTACAGGATACAGCAAAAAGCAAAAACTAAAACTGAAATAAAACGAAAAATTTTCAGCCAACTGTGCATTTGGAAACAGTTTCATTCCATGGTGTCCTTTTGTTCTGAGTCCGGCCAAAAAAAAAAAAAAAAAGAAAAAACTAAATGTTTATATATGGAATATCAAGTGGGTTTTTTTTTGTTGTTGTTATTTTTAAACGATCAAAAAAAAAGGGAATTTGATTAGTTGTGAACAAAACCTGCAAAAAGAGAAAACCATAGACGATATCAGGATATCATACAGCAAAATTCTTTTTACTGAGAGTAACTGTTAGGCATTCAACTCAACACAAATTACGGTATACCATAGGCAAAGTGGACTGAAATTATCTACAAAGTTTAAAACTATGGAGATTTTTAAAAGAACTTTGTGTTTTCTCATTTAAAAAATGAATTCTTTCTAAAAATTACAGTGCTTTTGCCAATAACAACATGTTTTTTTAAAGAAACTGTTTTCTATGACTTTGCAAGTAATTCCTTTTATTTGGTTTCATTGCATAATAAAACGAACCAATAGCATCATGTAAAATTGACACTTCAGATTAGGGTTTTTAGCATTATGCATGATGGGTAACTTCAAAAGAAGCCTCTGTTGACTTGCATTAACAAGGAAGCATATGTTCTTCTGGTAACCCATAAGGAATACTCTAAATATAAAGCAATAGAAGAGTTAAATCACATCCTGAGAAAATAAACTAAAAATTCATGAGTTTTTTTTTCCTAGCCCCCACATAAAAATTCCTTTAGGTAAAGCTTGAATTATGATGAATACCACTGCTATTTTATGATATCAAGGGATGAAATCCTGATGAAGTAATTGAGTTGGTCTCTTTTTGGAAAAATGTGTTGAACGCCCCATCATACCTAAAATTCCATATCAGTGTAAATACAGCCAGGAACCACCTAATTTTGCTTGGTATTTTAGGCAACCAGATCCAGGGAATGTGAGTATTTGTCTGTCAATAGGGAGAACCTACAAGGCAGTCTCTTGTATTCAGGGCAAAACATTCCGGCTGATCTCATGTTCTTCCCCTCAATGCCGCCATATTGGCTAAAGAACCCATGGCAAACAGACTCTCTGTTCTTCTCAGGGCTCCCTTAACCATATGTATCTGAAAACCATTAATTAGTCCTTTGAAAGGGTTTTTCTACCTTTTTGTCCCCAAAGGAGCTCTCATTCGATCTATGTTCATTTCTTTCCTTTTGATACTTTGATTTTCTACTTCAACTTCTGGAAATGTGAGAACTCAAGACTGACAGAATTTTCCATCCATGGCTGAAGGACCCATTTGAGGATTCCCAGACATACCCCAGTGTGACACTGAGCTCTTGCCCCGGACCTTCCAGAGACCTCTCTGGATTGTCACATGAAGTTGGAAGCTATGGAGTCTCCTTAGACAAAGCTTTTAAGCCTAGAGTTCAAATGAAAGGCCCATGAGGGATAATTGCGAAGGACACTGTCTGAACTGCTTGGAGGAAAGGTTACCTATGTATCAAAAAAGCATCCTAAAATGTTGAGTTCCTCACAAATTAAGGCACTGCTTGCAAACTCCTCCAAGCTTAGGTGAGTGTACAACAAACTTGAAGTCACTACTGGCCTGCGAGAATTCCCGAAGCATCTTAAAAATGGAAATCTGCAGATGGGGCACAGCAGCTCGTACCAATAATACCCAAGCTTTGGGAGGACTGCTTGAGGCTAGGAGTTCAAGACCAGCCTGGGCAATATAGTGAGACCCCCCATATCTATAAAATTTTATTTTACTCATTCCTGTATTCCCCTAGCACTTAGGGAGGCAGACACAGCCCAGGAATTCAAGACCAGCCTGGCCAGCAGAGCAAGACCTCATTCTCTACAAAAAGTAAATTTTAAAAACATTAATGGAAATCTGCAGAGATTAGCATGTATATGTGTGGGTAAGAGTGTGTGAGCACATACACAACAGAGTAGGAAGGGTGTCTGGGTCTACCACTTATTCCTTCATTAATGTTGCTACGTATCATGTTAGCATAGAGATAACGCTGAATCTGCCACATGGAGAGAGAATAGGCTTTGAAATGAAGGAGAATGTTGCATTAGTTTTCTCCTGTAGCTTTAACACATTACCACAGACTTAGTGGCTTAAAACAGCACAAACCTATCACCTTATAATTCTATAGCCAGGTATCTCACTAGACTAATCAAGGTGTCAGCAGGGCTATGTTCCTCCTGGAGCGTTTCAAGGATAATTCATTCACTTCCTTCGGTTTTTCAGTGTCTACAGGCTGCCTACATTCCTTGTCTTGTGGCCTCTTCCACCACCTTCAAAGCCAACAGCATGGCATCTTTTCAATTTTATTTAATTTTATTGTATTTTTTGAGACTCAGTCTCAATCTGTTGCCCAGTCTGGAGTGCAGTGGCACAATCTGCTGAGTGTAACCTCCGCCTCGTGAGTTCAAGTGATCGTCCTGCCTCAGCCTCCTGAGTAGCTGGGATTACAGGTGCCCTCCACTACTCTTAGCTAATTTTTATATTTTTAGTAAAGATGAGGTCTCACCATGTTGGCCAGGCTGGTCTTAAACTCCTGACCTCAAGTGATCCACCTGCCTCAGCCTCCCAAAGTGCTAGGATTATAGGCATGAGCCACAGTGCTCGGTCAGTGTGGCATCTTTAAATCTCTATTCCTGACTCTGACACTCTAGAAATCCTCATGATCACATTGGATCCACCCAAATAAACCAGGATCCTCCTCCCATTTCAAGGTAGCTAATGTAATGGCACCTACAAAGTCTCTTTTGCCATTAAGGTGAGATATTTGCAGATGTGGGAGATTAGGATAAGGACAACTTTGGGGGTTGAATATTCTGCCTACCAACTCTGCAACACAATCAACTCTGCAAGCCAGAAGCCTTCTTTCTGGTGCATATCCCTGACTAGTGAAAGCAATTATGGCTCTGAAGCCATTCAGTAGAGAGAAGAGAATGGAATGGCTTTAAATCAAAGATCAGTTCACTTTAGGCTGAATTAGGAGTTAGAATCCAGACTAAACTTTTTCAGGAGAGAAAGTAAAATACCCCAAGTCTTACTCAACCCTGAGATGACTGGGTTGTTGTGTCCACAGAGGGCCCATCTGTCAATGACCTTACCAAAGCGAAAGGTAGCTTCTCAACACAGATCTCCTATGTACACAGGACCTTCAGTATTGACAATAAGGTAAATTATTATGTACAGAATCTTTAGAATTAGGATTGGGCTATATGAAAACCAGTCTTTTAAAATGTCAACATTTATTTTAGACTCTTGGGTAACATATGCAGGTTTGTTACAGGTGTATATTGCATGATGCTAAGGTTTGGAGTATGATTGATCCTATCAGCTAGGTACTGAGCATAGTACCCAATCGTTTTTCAACCCTTGTCCCTGCCCTCCACCTCCTTCTATTAGTCCCCGGCATCTATTACTGCCATCTTTATGTCCATGAGTACCCAATGTTTAGCTTCCACTTATAAGTCAGAACATGGGGTATTTGGTTTTCTGTTCCAGCGTTAATTCACTTAGGATAATGGCCTCCAGCTGCGTCCACGTTGCTGCAAGGGACATGATTTTGTTCTTTTTTATGACTGCATAGTATTCCATGGTGTATATGTACCACATTTTCTTTATCCAGTTCACCATTGATGGGCACCTAGGTGTCTTTGCTATTGTGAATAATACAGTGATTGACATAGAGATGCTTGTATCTTTTTGGTTGAATGATTTATTTTGCTTTGGGTATTTTATGATGGTTTTGATTTGCATTTCCCTAAGGGCCAGTGATGTTATGCACTCTTCCCATGTGCTTTTTGGCCATATCTATTCAGATACCTTGCCCCATTTTAAAAATTGTGTTATTTGTCTTGTTATTGAGGCATTAGAGTTCTTTATATATTCTAGATACAATTCCTTACTAGATATGTGATTTACAAATATTCTCTCCCGTTCTGTGGGATGTTGTTTCACTTTAAAGACAGTATCTTTTGAAACACCAAATGTTCTATTTTGACAAAGTCTGACTTATTATTTTTGTTTTTTGCTTACGCTTTCAGTATCCTATCTGAGAAACCATTCCTTAATCCAAGATCATGCAAATGTATGCCTGTGTCTTAAGACTTTTGTAATTTTAGCTATTATATTTTCATAGGAGATCTACTTTTTGTTAATATTTATATACGGTGAGGTAGGGGTCCAGCTTTATTCTTTATGAATAGACAATTATCTTTGGCCTATTGTTGAAAAGACTATTCTCCGCCTGGTGAGGTGGCTCATGCCTGTAATCCTCAGCACTTTGGGAGGCCAAGGCAAGCTGATCACTTGAGGCCAGGAGCTTGAAACCAGCCTGGCAAATGTGGCGAGACCCTGTCTCTAATAAAAATACAAAAATTACCCAGGTATGGTGGCATGTGCCTGTGGTCCCAGCTACCCAGAAGGCTGACGCACGAGAATCGCTTAAACCCAGGAGGCAGAGGTTGCAGTGAGCAAAGATCACACCACTGCACTCCAGCCTGGGCGATAGAGTGAGACTCTGTATCTTTCTCCCATAGTTAGTGCTTAATTATTTAAAAGCATCTCTTTTACAGAAGTTGTAGTTCACGGAAATAGTTAGGTATTCTTTGCTAACACCAACAAAACAGCCAGGATGTTTGTTATAAATAGGCAATAAATGGTTTGGAAGTGTTGAGTGACTGCTTGTATCTTAAACATAGTGAAGCTAAGGCAAGAAACAGATTCAGTCAGGTTAAGGGCTGTGACTAGGCCACATGAACTAAACACAATGGACCACTGCCTTTGCATAAGGATATTTTTACCTGACCATCATAGCAGATTGCTCTTAGTAAAATCAGGCTTATAGTAAATTTTGTGGAAAGATTAAAACAAATACAAAATCTAAATTCAAATATATAATGAATAATACAAATTCAAGGGATATTCTACTCTAAGAATTCATTGAAATAATGAATATTTATTATGAACCAGGCCTATGTTCCTGCATTTAATCTTCATAATAACCTCATGATCCAGGTAATGAGATTTCTTCTATTTATAGGTGAGAAAAGTAAAGGTTAGACAGGTTAGTTTCTCAATATCACAGAGATAGTATACAGTTAAGATGTGAACCTGGAATATTCTAAACTCAAGACAATGGATAACCACTACACTTATTTTTCAACTCTAGCTGTCCAAGGGCCCCACCATTGTTCAACCTAAGGGCTGAAACTGTCATTTGATTTAAAAATGAATAGCTATTATCTTAACCCAATCATCATATCAAATTTTTCTCAGTTGTTATAACAATTGCTCATAACAGATGAGATAGGAAGATTAAAACAAATATACAATCAAGGTTCAATAATGATTTCTAGAGCTGGATTGCTGGAGTTATCTGATAGCCTATCTAATGCAAACCTTGGGCTTACATATACAGGAACTGAGACTCGGAGGAATTAAAGGAATTGTTGGACATCGCAGATGGGATTTGGTGAATCCCAGCATACGGTGTAAATATGACCTTTGTTTCAACAACTGACTCCACTATTCTTAACTTCCACTGTTACTCATGACTGTTTGATATAATTCTCAGTCTCATGCTTCATGAACTCAATCCTTCCAGGCTTCTCCTGAGCTTTACTTACTTCACAGCACCCACCATAGACATGGATGTGAACGCTTGTGGGTCTCCTCCCAGCTTTGGATGACTTCCCCTAGCCTCCCCAGCTCCATAGCCCTTCTCTTCCCCACTCAGACAGGCAGCATTTGCCTTCTACTTTTTCCACATTACTGTTCCAACCCAATCTATTTCCCGAGGCTGTCCTGCTAAATCAGGTCTTTGATGTCTTCTGTTTCACTTACCCCTTTGGCCCCTACACAAAAGAAAAACATCAACCAAGAGGCAGCAGTGAGTTTCCACCATATTTCTTATATTCCAAATGACACATATGGAGTCCTCCCTGTCTTTACCTCTGAAGGTGAAAGCTAATTTTTAAGCCTTATTTAATACATACTAAAATTGCCACTTTAATAAAGTTCTTCATCTGCTGGAGATCTCTTTTTCTATTTAGATTTTTTGCAGACCAAAAAAAAAAAAAATTGTCTTAAGGGTCTAGGTATTTGTGCCTATGAATAATACAGATAAATTTAGAACCAAACATAAAGGCTACAAAAGATAATTCACAGTATTTCCTTATCAATTCACAAAGATTCAAGAAAAACCCAAACTCTTTTATTTCTGCCTTTCTTATAAACAAAATCATGGAGTTAAATTAACTTAATCATTAGCTTTTCTGTGCAGAGATTAATTAATTCTCTTTTGTATCAGATTCAAAACACAGGATATAAAACTAGCTAGCAGTTTACATTTTTGGTTGTTCTTGTGAAGTTTTCCATTTAATTCTAAAATCTTTTGCATAGCAGGTAATACCACTTTAAAAGAAGCAAGCATTTTATTAAAGTGAGACTCCTGCACAGGGGGAACAACATAGAAGCTGTGATCTGAGATGACAGTTGGTTTACTCTTACCATTTGATCACAAAATTTCTCTGCCATCTGTGGGAAGCCACACAGGCAAATGTGTCATCACATCTAATAATGAAAAGAAAAAACAGACAGAACGTGCTGGAGAAACAGACTGCTTTAATTACCCCCTCACAATGCTCCTTGAGAATCTGGAGAAAAAGCATTGTGCATGCAAGTTATTTATACAAAGAAGGTAGCCAGCACTGAAGATTTTTTCAAAAAAAATTAGGATGCATGCCCTTGTATTTTCAGCATGACCAGTTGGGGCAGAAACAAATGTATAGCAAAGGTTGTGGAAGAAATCTTGTGAAAAACAGATTGGCTAAGAAAATAAATAGTATGATGATCGTCTATAATTCACTATTTATGTGCTGGAATCTCAAAATTGGATTCTTCAAATTCGAATAGAACCTGTACTACAGCTCTGTGGTGGGAATGTTGGAAGACGCTGGAGGTACAAAACCAGTTCCAAGACACAAAGTCTTGACCTACCCGATGTCTAAAGGTGAAACAGTCATTGGCCCCCAAGACTTTTCATTTTCCTTTTCAAGCCCAAACCTCATGACCCATGATGTAAGTGTTCTTAACCTCTATACCATAGGTGTTCTCAGAAAGATATAAGAGCACCGCAGTCTTTTCCTTTATTCGAGAATAATATGAGTTATATCCTGGGTAGCTAAAAGAGATGCGAGTGGTACAGTGACTCATGACCTAACCCTCAACAGTGTAATTGCTATGGACTCAAGACAATTACAGTCATTTTCCTGTCTTCACTCTGAGATCAGTACAAGTTATATAATTTCCCTATCCAAAAAAGAACCATTTCTTATCACTTTCCATTCCATTTCTGTTCAATTTCCATTTTATTTCTGTTCTCATCTACCCCAGCTGTCTTAATACCTCCACTAACCACCACCTCCTACCTCCTACCAATCCAGTAGCTTCTCCTGTCTGCAACAGGCCAATCTTCCCACAACCATCTCGCTAAGTGACATTGGGACTGTAGTGTTGAAGTGAATGGGAAAGAGGCAAGAGGAGCCTGAGGAAGCGACAGATGAATGGTCTGTAGACAAAGAGATAGTTACATGCAAGATATGAGACTTACAGTCAATGTATTATGGAATGGTTGCATCTGTGTGTGTCCCGAGACTTCATTTTCACACTGACTTGTGTTGGTCTCCCTCTGAAACTTTATTTAAACTTTATTTTTTCAATCAAACTATTTTTGAGCACCAGCTATATGCTATGTTCTAGCACACAAGAGAGAGAAAAAAAAATTTTTAAAGATCATTGACCACAGAAACTCACAGTCTAGTTACACCGAACCAAAATTACAATGGAGCCCTTTTCCTAGCATTTTTTTCCATTTGATGTATTATGAAAGTAATATATAACATTGCAAAGCCCTGTAAAAATGTTAACACGTAAAAAAATGTTTAAAATGGCATATGATATATAAATGTATCTAAGTAGAAAATGTTTTCCTCTAGACCAATACATTAAAAAAATTTATTGTAAGATTGTAATTTTTTTCAAAATTATTTATTGAATACCTTCTAAGAGTCAGGCACTGTCGTAGACACTGTGAATATAATAGTGCATATGGTAGACCAGGATCCACGCCCTCATGGATCTTACATTCTAGTGATAATAAATATAGTTTTTTTTGGAAATATCTATAGTATGTAAGAGAGTGAAAAGTTATATTAAGGAGAAACTACACCATGGAAGGAAGATGGGGCAAAGGGGTGTTAGGTAATGCGTTCCAGTTTAAAACTGAATGTGGCTGGGTGCAGTGGCTCATGCCTGTAGTCCCAGCACTTTGGGAGGCCAAGGTGGGCAGATCACCTAAGATCAGGAGTTTGAGACCAGCCTGGGCAACATGGTGAAACCCCATCTCTACTAAAAATACAAGCAGAATTAGCCAGGCGTGGTGGTGCATGCCTGTAGTCCCAGCTACGGGGGAGGCTGAGGCAGGAGAATCGCTTGAACCCAGGAAGCAGAGGTTGCAGTGAACTGAGATCGTGCCACCATACTCCAGCCTGGACAAGAAAGCAAGACCCTGTCTCAATCAATCAATCAATAAAACTGAGTGGCCAGGAAGGACCTCCTTGAAAATGTGACTTTTATATACAGATCTGAAGTAAATGATTCTGTGAATCATATGGACATCTGGGGAAAGAGTGTTCGTAATATTCAAGCCAAGTACAGATAAATTTTGACTTGTTTTCCATTTAACACATGTCACGATTGTTTCATTTTATTTTAAATTTTATAAGAAAAAGCATAATCTGTCAACACATGAATTTAATTATGACATGTTTGGTTTGGGGATTAAATATATATTAAAATGTAAATTAAAATTTAAATACACATTAAGCACTATTTTAAAAAGCAAAAATTGTTTGCGGCATCTGATATTTGGTATTTTTGCATTCTGTACTTTTAAAAAAAAACAGGTTTCAGATTCTTATTTGCAAGTGCATTTCTGCAAGCAACAGCTTGTGAGGGGAAAGTCTTAATCCCCAAAAAATAAAAATTCAAATTGGAAATAATCATCAATATGGCTTCTTTTTATATTGGGTTTTGAAGCACTGGTTTTATCTTGAAGGTCAACATAAGACATTTGATCATGTGACTAATGGCTCTCGTGAAGTTCATATTGAGGTGAATTTAGAGACTTCGCATCCTTTCTATGTCCCTATTAATTTATTGGATTACAAAACCCGGTTTCCTTGTATTTCACAGAATTCATCAAGCTTATTATAGATTTAAATTAATCAATATATGACCTATAATTCAAAAGCACACACATGAGCCTAAGCTGTATAATGGTCATTTACCACCACAAAGTGCGTAGCAGGGCTCAGCTGGATTGAAAAACCACTGGCATTACTGACTCCAGGTCATGGTTTCCAGATCTTCAATAACTGCCCCTCATAATCATCAATCTGCATTTGGAAACTCTCCAGTGAGTCTATTTTAAAGAGAAGAAAGGGTTGAATTTTTTTACTATGTGACACATTAAATAATTATCTTACCACTGTCTAGACACCACTACCGAATTTAACACTGAACCACCTTTGGGAAACTCAAGTTGGGAAATGCTGCAGTTCAGCAACTTGATGGCAAAGCAAGAGCTATTGTGGAAGTTACTGCTGGACTCAATGGAGTCAGAGAGGAGGAACCCATACCCAGTGAAGCCTTCCAAGAGTTTGTCTAAAAGGTAAGTAAGAAATAGGCCAGTTAAAGAAGAGGAAGGAGCATCTCCACAAAAAGCACAGAGCCATAAAGGGGCTTAACGGGTTTAAGGAACAGTCTGTGGTTCAGCGTGGTGAGTCTAGATGTGAATCAGGGAAAGATAAGGGAAGAGGATGGCAGATTCCCAAGAACCTCGTATGCCAAGCAAAAAGTTTGGATTTTATCCAGAAGTGGTGGGGAGCCACCAAAAGGTTTCATTATGGCTATAAAGTACTTCAACTGATGTGTCAGAAAAATCACTGGGCCTAGGAGGGTAAGGACTAGATACCAATAATATCTTGTTTTTATTCTAACACCTATGCAATATGATTTACAAGACTTAGGGTGATCTAGAGAGCCTTTGCTAAAATAAGGCTTTCCTCCTTTTTTTCTATCCTCCTGCATATTCCAGTTAGAAGAAAGCATTCTCTTTATGCATTCTTGCTTAAAAATCACTAAAATCACCAAAATAGTGCAATAAGTATTATCAGTTTTTAAGATCTTTATGAATTATATCATTTTTCTCCTAAAGGGAAGCCAGTGATGTAGATGGGAAAAGGGACAGTTTGCAGAGGCATGGTAATGAGTAGCCCATCCTGAAAGAATGGTCAATTTTGTGTCATAAGGAGAAGACAGCAGGCCGAGAATTCCTGAAAGATATCAGAAACTGTGAAGAGTCCAAAATGTTACCCTACATTCAAGCTAACAACTTAACGTGCTGTAATTTCAAGGATGCAGGCAGAAGACCTAAGACTCCTGGGCCAGAGACAAAGGGCATTTTACCCACTGCAATAGCAATAGCCACAGTATTATCACTTTCTTGTTTCTTTCCTTGACTCCCAGTTCCTACAGGACAACACAACAAGGGCCAGGTAATACCTGCTGATGCAGTCGGTTGAGTTGCAGGAGAGGAACCCCGAGTTTAGGAAACCCCCATCTTTTATAATAGGCAGCAAACAAAGTGTCCACTGTTTGCTCTAGAGGGAGACATTATCTCTGAACCCAAGGCACCTTACTACAAAGAGATGTCTGAAAAGATGGTCCAGAACAAAACACTCTTCCTAAAGACATGCTGAAAGGCTGGAGATCCATAAATTATATCACAACAGGAGCTAACTGTGTGTCCTTAATCAAGTTATTTGTCTTTATTGAGCTTGTTTCCTTACGGATAAATTAAGGAGATCATTAACCAACTCATAGGATAGTCTGAAATAAAATATTATTTCAAACTCAAAACCAGCAAAATGGTGAGCTTTTTATTTTTGTATTATGTTTGAGCGTTTTCTGATAACACTGCTAAAAATGTAAGTTTCTTCTCACCAAATATTGCACTAATAAGCCACAACCAATAAAAACATAGGTGATTCCAACCCAGAAAACTTAAATGTTAACCTCTGAAATTAATAAGATATAGAAAGTTAATTAATTGTGTCTGTAACCTAGCAATTGTACTTAGTGATTCCTTTTCTGTCTTTTTAAATCCTTGTTCCTAAAATGTTCTTTGAGCTTGCTCATTTGTTTTCTCAGTGGTGGCCTCATTAGGGAATTATTTAAAAATTTTACAGATGCTAACATATAAATTTGTATGAAAAGTTTGATTGTAAGTTTCTTATGAGCATTAAATAATATATAAACTATCTGGAGGTATCTAGAGAATAGTGAGCATTCAATAAATATTAGTTCTTTCCTATAATTTTAACATCCTACAACTTAGGTGCCATAAATCATACCAAGATTAACGTTTTGTAATTAAAATCATAAAGCCATATTTTTCTAAAAGTTTTAAAATAATGACCATTTTCACCAGTTTCCGTATATTTTCAGAATCAAGGTAATTGATTGTAATGACTCGTGAAAAATAATACTTTAAGGCCACCATTAGCTAAGACAGATTTATAACTAGAGCATTATTTTTAATTATCTCTATCTTCACATTCCCTTTTCAGGAGGCTGGTATCTCTCTTTCCCACGTAAGTCCATCTCTTCAGTTTCAGGGATGGAGAGAGGAAGATGTAACCTTGGAAGCGGAAGGACACAATTTATAGGATAATCCCACTCATGACAAAAGAGGAAGGTAAACATGTCTGCTCCCCCGACCCCGGTTGTTTGTGGGGGAAAGAGGAGTATACCAGTTTGTTTTCACACTGCTGATAAAGACATAACCGAGACTAGATAATTTATAAAGAAAAAGAGGTTGAATGGACTAACAGTTCCACATGGCTGGGGAGGTCTCACAATCATGGCAGCAGGCAAGAGAGAATGAGAGTCAAGTGAAAGGGGAAACCCCTTATAAAAACATCAGATCCCGTGAGAGTTATTCACTACCACGAGAATAGTGTGGGGGAAACTGCTCCCATGATTCAATTATCACTCACCACATCCCTCCCACAACATGCGCAACATGCGGAGATTATGGGAGCTACAATTCAAGATGAGATTTAGGTGGGGACACAGGCAAACCGTATCAAGGAATTACAGAGTTAAGAGTGGGAGGCAGTTGGATGCCTGTGTTGCTATCTGCAGTGCAGGGCTTGAAGCCTAGGCACCAAGAGGGGGCCGGTTAGATTGGTTGAAAGGGACATGGAGACCAGAAGGGCTTCTTTCCAGTTCCTTCTTTGTGGGGAACATTGGGATCAGAGAGGGTTCTAAGCTCATTTCAGAAGCCCCAACATACTTAAATGAACATGGCTAGAAAAACTGAAGATTGAATTTACTAATCATTCCTTGCTTCTCATTTGTCTCAGGATTAAGGTGAAAGCTAAAGAACCTATTCTTGAGCCTAGTATGGTCCACGTAGGGTGGCCTCACAGCAAAGCCTTTGGGGTGGTGGACATGAGCCAGGGGCAGATGACAGATGTGGCAGTGACTCAGAGGAGTCTTCAAAACCCATGAAGGCTAAGGGGAAGCCAAGTCATTAGGGCGGATCCTCCAGGGTCCAGAGACACTAGAAAAGCATAGACTACGAATGAGTTTATCCACCATAGATGTCAACAACAGCTATCAATAGGCTCCCTAGGATCAGAACTGGCTGAGGCAAGCTTCAGTTGAGCTCCGTTCGCATCGGTCACCACACGCTCCCCTCCCAACTCCAGAAAGCCTGTGGCCCCTCCCATGCTTTGGCTGCCATCTTGGAAAGGAGGGCGACAAGGTAGAGCAATCTGAAACACAGAGCAGTTGTCCAAAGAATCGAGTTAAGGCCCCCAAAACAGATAAAATTATCTTGTCTTGCTGTGATTCAGATTAAACTAAGACTTCTTTTCCTGTTTACTCAAGATGTAGACACTTGATGAGAAACTGGTCTGGAGAAATCTAGGAGCTATATTGTCTTTGGACATCCATATTAGAGGATGAGTAAATTTGTAATCCCATTAAGTATTTTTTGAGCTTTCCAACAGTTTTAATTATTATTGGGAAATAAATCAGAGAAGTCTCTAAAGCAACAAAGAATTATTGAGGTTTCGTTTGTTTGGGGATTTTAAGGTCTAGTACTGTGGTATTTTTTGATAAAGCATCAGCTGTAATAGCTTTGTAGTACAGTTATCAAATTAAATAAAAAGGGATGTAAGTAGTCATAAAAATTGCTCATTAAAGCTGATCGCCTTTTTTTAAATGCCACCAAAGCTTTGGAGGGTGGAGAATAACCCAGTTGAAAATCTACAAGCAATGCTGTCCACATCCCAAATAGACTGGTCAAAAAGCCTTCATCCCGTCAGTCACTGACATCAACTTCATCCAAATCAGACTCCTAAAAACCCGGCCTAACTTATGTGTCATGCAAAGGATGGCTCTTGGAAAAATGCAAAGGTATGTCGTAATTTAGAACCCGGTCATTTGAAAACTTGATTATAAGGTAAAATATGCAGAAGCTTTAGGAAAGGTATAAAAATGTCATGCAAATAGGGTACTGGGTTGGGGAAGAGCTGAGATCAAATAAAATTTTCTCATAAAGTGTGCTGCTATATTTTCATGAACTGAGAGGCATGGAGATGGTGACAGTGAAGGCACAGGGCCTAACGCCACACAGCTGGTCTAGAATCCAGCTTTCCCTCTTCCTGACCTTCAGAAAGTCACTCAACCTCTTAGTGAATGTCCGGATTTTCTCATTTGTAAATAGGAACAATATTAGTACTGACTTCACTGGTTGCTGTAAGAATCAAGTGTTAAGATGTATCAAGTGCTCAGAAGACTGCCTAGCATGTACTTATGTAAGTTTCAGCTGTCATTATCGTTCTTTCATTAATATTTTTAGGCTGGGCGCAGTAGCTCACACCTATAATTCCAGCACTTTGGGAGGCCGAGGCGGGTGGATTGCCTGAGCTCGGGAGTTCGAGACCAGCCTGGGCAACATGGCAAAATTCTGTCTCTACGAAAAATACAAAAAATTAGCTGGGTGTTATGGCACCTGTCTGTGGTCCCAGCTACTTGGGAGGATGAGGAGGGAGGACTGCTTGAGCCCAAGAGACAGAGGTTGCAGTGAGATGAGATCACACCACTGCACTCCAGCCTGGGTGACAGAGTGAGACCCCAGCTCAAAAAATAAAATAAAGAAGAAAAAGAAGGTGTAGTTGCAACAGTGAAATACTGTATCTGAAACATGGGCCACAATTTTTAAAAAATATATAAATAAAAAATAGTATTTTACAATGACACCACAACTAATATGTGTGAGTCACAGGTGCCTGCCCTCACAGTGTTCTCAATCTAATAACTGGCATGAATTAGACGGTACATCCTTGGATGTTTTCCAGCTACCAGATCGATAGGTTGTAACATGAATATGAATTGTGTTTTAAATCTAAATTGCAACACGTGTTGAGAAAATTGAAAAAACTAGGTTGCCTTCATACTGTCTTCTGAGAAGACCCAAGTTTTGAGCAGTGATTTCTCTAAGGGAAGAGGTGAAAGGAATTAGAGAAAGAGGAAAGAAAGAGAAGATGGGAACACTTAGTATGTCTTTTCAAAGATCAATCTCTTCAAAGGTTGGCAATAGGCAAGTAAGATGTTGGGCAGACAAGCTTGCAAATGGCAAGCTCCGTAGCTGTCTAAAATGCTTGGAAAATTGAGAATCTCAAGCAGGTTAAGAATTATCCTTTTTTAGAACACATGGAAAAAGTGGGAAAAAAATACTTTTCCTTTTGCTCTTGTTATCAACACAATTAGCAAACCATTTAGAACTTTAGCAAACCATTTAGAGCTTAAGAGAAACAAGAAAAAGTTCAAACTGGCCCATCTTTATATTACAACAAACCTTGAGGTCACATTTATTTATACTTGACCCAACAGCTATGGTTCCTGAAATACATCTTCTGAGAGCTATAATGTGACATTCTTCCAGAATGATCAAGTAACAATGGTCTTCTCCTGATTCACTTAAGGAAAAAGATGTAACAAATTTGTGCATAGAATTCTCTCATTTAAGTTCTTCTTCCATACATTTTCTTTACTGTTTGTTGCTTATGACTGTTCACCTGATAACAAATGGCAATGCAATTAAATCATTCAATAAGTGAGTGAAAGTTAATGAAAAACCTGAAAACTGACCGGGCTCAGCTTGTTTATTTTCGTGGACATGTGGGCTATGATTTTACAGAGCACATATGTTATATTGTTCTATTTCTGTGTCCCACTTGTCCACTTGGCATAACCACACATGCTGGTATTTCATAGGGTTGCACATCCCATAACGTTCAGGAGCTCAGACATATGAACAAGTCTGAAGCTACGACAGTATATGCTCTTGATGCTTTAATACAATCTGAGAGCCTATGTTTCCATGCCCAAGGGCTCTCCTGCCAACTTTGCAGCCTATTTGAGAAGCTGCAGGATGATAAGCAACCATTAGCATCAGCTGTGCTATTTGTGATCCAAAGAGACTCATCCACCGGGAACAGGACCGAGAACACTGTATCCCAGAACATTGCATCCTTGGTCTTGAAATGAACAGCAGCTTGATTTGATTGCAAAGCACAGTGGAAGAATTTGGAAAAGCATATTGTAGCTTGAATTCCATGGGGTCTGTCCACCTTCCTAAAACCCTTTTAATTATTAGGGAGGCATTACCAAAGTTGGAATGATCTGCAGTATATGGCACGTCAAACAAGAAAGCTTAGCTTCCACATCTACGTGGTAACCTTGGGGAAATTATTAAACCATGCTCAGTGAAATGCAAGGGGAAGCTGATAATGATGCCTGTCCCACACATACTGTACAGGGATTTGGAGGAGGAGAAGGAAATAATTTCTGTACTAAAAATCTCCAGCCTCAACAGCTTGGGACAACAAAACAAGATTATACTTGCTAATTTCCAGAAATTTGCCTGCCTCAAAGAGGCCCCCAGTTTCTAGGGCATTTCCCAGGAACCTTCCTCTAAAACTGCATGCTATTGATAACACGAAAGCAGAACCAAGACCAAGTTCAGGCTTTGCCAAGGCTTTATGATATTCAGAATAACTTAAGAGTGAGAACCAGCTATTCAAAGAGCCTGTAAACCTAAACTGACTTTGGGTGTTGTCTCTCACTTTTTGATTCCAACCGCTCCTGATTTTCTGTCTTCTTCTTAACTAAGACTTACTGAGTGCTGTTAAGTTTTCAATGGATAAGCTATGTCTCAACTTTTCAATACCTTGTTGCGGTGGCTCCGCCTGCAGTCCCAGCACTTTGGGAGGCTGAGGCAGGAGGATTGTTTAAAGCCAGGAGTTTAAGACCAGCCTAGGCAATATAGTGAGACCCTGCCTGCACAAAAAAATTTTAAAAAATTCACCAGGCTTAATGGTGTGCTCCTGTAGCCCAGCTACTTAGGAGGCTAAGGTGGGAGGATCACTTGAGCCTGAGAGGTCGAGGCTGCAGTGAGAAATGATGGTGCCACTGCACTCCAGCCAGGATGACAGAGTGACTGACACTCAGCCAAAAAAAAAAAAAAAAAGTATGCACCAGGAAGACAAAATATAATGCCTTATTCACTAACGCATGTTGAAGTATATGTACATATATACACAGAATTGTAGGCCTGTACCTATTTCTAAGCCATATCCTGTACATGATGTGGTTTCAACATTCCAGAAACCTAGAAGTCCACAATCCTGCTCAGCCTTGTCTTCAGTTTCTGATCTTGAACAGTCTTTCAAAGACCACAGCCATGAGAAGGTCAACTAGAGCATCTAAAGAAGCAAAAGTTATGAGTCTCAAGTCTATGGCTAATTTACTTCAAAGCCTGATCTTCAGAGAAAGATATGAGAATAAGGAAAGATTTCTAATGTGTTATTCTATTGTGTTTTATCATTTTGCACCTTTTTTTCTTGTTTCTCATCTGTCTTACTCACTTTGGTCTATAAGCTGTGTGAGAACAGAAAATATAACTATCTTAGGGCAGGCGTGGCAGATCACACCTGTAATGCCAGCACTTTGGGAGGCCAAGGCGGGCAGATCACTTGAGGTCAGGAGTTCAAGACCAGCCTGGCCAACATGGCAAAACCTCATCTCAATTAAAACTACAAAAATTACCCGGGCATCATGGCACACACCTGTAATCCCAGCTACTCAGGGGCTGAGGCAGGAGAATTGCTTGAACCCAGGAGACAGAGGTTGCAGTGAGTTGAGATCATGCCACTGCACTCCAGCCTACATGACAAAGTGAGACTCTGTCTCAATTTAAAAAAAAAAAAAAAAAAAAAAAAGAAAAAATATAACTATTTTGCTCATTAATGTGTACCCAGAAATTAGGTCTAGCCCATAGTGGGCAGTCAGACAATCTTACTAAAATGACTGACTGGTCTAGGGGAGAAGGGAATAGAAAGAAAAATTAGTCCACTGATACAGTTTGGCTGTGTCCCCAGCCAAATCTCACGTTGAATTGTAGTTCCCATAATCCCCACATGTTGTGGGAGAGACCTGCTAGGAGATAATTTAATCATGGGGTGATTATCCTAATGGTGTTCTCCTGATAGTGAGTTCTCACGGGATCTGATGGTTTTATAAGGGGCTTTTCCCCCCTTTTGCTCAGCACTTCTCCTGCTGCCACCAGGTCCAGAAGGGCATGTTTGCTTCCCCTTCCGCTATGATTGTAAGTTTACTGAGGCCTCCTAAGCTATGCTGAACTGTGCATCAATTAAACCTCTTTCCTTCATAAATTACCAAGTCTCAATATGTCTTTATTAGCAGCGTGAGAACAGACTAACACATCCACCCATGGAATAAGAGGGAGATGAGTAAACTAGCTAGGAGGTTAGCGAGCACAAATGCGGGAACCATTCTGCAGCATGGCCACTTGAGTAGCAAGATAATGCTGGGAGGGTGGAAGAAGGAGAACTTGGGACTGGGAAACCATTGATGGCTGAGCACAGTGGCTCACATCTGCAATCCCAGCACTATGGGAGGCTGAGGCAGGAGTATGGATTGAGGCCAGGAGTTTGAGACCAGCCTGGGCAACATATAGTGAGACCCACGACTCTACAAAAAAATTTAAAAATTAGTCAGACATGGTGGCATGCACCTGTAGTCACAGCTACTCAGGGGACTGAGGCAGGAGGACCCCTTAAGCCCAGGAGTTTGAGGCCGTAGTGAACTAGAGTCACGCCACTGCCCTCAAGCCTGGGGTGAGGCTCTGTCTCAAAAATGCTTGTTTTTTGTTTTTTTTAATTTTTAAAAAGAGAGAAAATTAGGGCATTTTCTAGGTAAATAGTAAGGAGATAAGCTTAGTGACTTTTCTGCCCTCACAAAGCCAGTTAGCAGGCAATGTAGAGAAGAAAGCGGACCACCTAAGTCCTGGTTAACTACCTTTTTTCTCAGAAGCAGGGGCCGCTAAGGGAGAGATGTGAAGGTCAAGGAAGCTCTGAGCTCCTGACAGCCGCCCTTCCAGCCTTCTCCTGCCTTCCATAGAGAGATGCTATGGACTCTTGGTCCAGAGACTCAAATTCAAGGAAAAGAAGAGGCAACATTTGCAGTGTTGATCCTTGAGTTGAACAAAGGTGAGAGATAAGGGAAGAGGGTCACAGGGGCTGGGTGAGAAGTAATGTGGAGAGGGTGTGATGCTGGCGAGTTGGAAGGGACAGTGGTTGGGGAAGGTTCTGGGCTTCCGGAAAGAGCAACTGTGCCGCGTTGTCAGTGTAGCAGCTGGAGAGTGTGGGAGGACTTTAGGGAGACCACAGAGGGGGAGTTATAGGAAACACAGCAGCACTGGGAAGCTGTTGCCTGCTATGCAGCAAGGCCATGAGGCCCTGGGCCCTCCAGCCAGTCCCTGATCATGAGTTTGCGGCCTTGTTAGGCCCTGGCCGCGATGCCTCATGATCCTGCTGATGTTTCTGCCTTCTCTCCAGCCAGCAGCCAGCCCCTCTCAGGGGCTTCTCACTCCACTCCATCAGAAGCATACCTCAAGCACCCATTTGCATGGTCTCCTTTTTAATTCCCAAAGTTCAAAATCTCCACCTCCGTATCTTGTGCCACTCTAGCAGTTGCTGCTTACCCTAAAGCCAGCAAATTACAGTGACAAGAACAGAATTTCTCTTATGCTTAAAAAAAACTTAAATAAAGTCTATACAATATAAGGGTGAGAGAAGGTGGCATTTCCACAGACTTAGATAATAGGTGCCCTATGACAGAATGATCCTCTAATCTATCCTGGAAGCTACAAATTCTACTTGCAAAGTGATCTGTAACCACCTTGGCCCACCTGAAGGTGACAGTCCAGAAATGCAGCTCAATTTTGTGGTAATCCTGAGGTCACAAATAAGCTGTTTTTGTGCATGCGACTGTATCCTTTGGTGTTTGCTCTATTTGTAAACTGTGTCAGTATGATCGCTTGTAGCATCTTGGAATTATCTGGAAATATTTTTCAGAGCAACCTCAGAATGCTTTTCACAAATGTCATTCCCTTATTCTTTGAGGACTTTCATTGAGAAGACTCTTAGGGGCTGGCATAAAGTAAAATCCATTCTTTTCTTCAAAGCACTTCCTAGTTCCAGGAGATTCTCTTTGCACGTATACAGACTCTCCTTCCCTTCCAGGTAGAAGCTGTCTCCGTGGTTTCCTCTCTGCACCCACTATTCTGAGCCCATTTCCTCCTGGGACTGTCCCTTCCTGGGACTGTCCTTTCCTGGCTCCTTGGATCTGTCACCCCCTGGCCACACTTCTATTCTTTCCCTTTGCTTGAACAGTATCAGATGGGGAATATTTTTTTCTTTTATGTTGTTGTTTGTTTGTTGATCCAAGGTCTCACTCTGTCACCCAGGCTGGAGTGCAGTGGCACTATCATGGCTCACTACAGCCTCTACCTCCTGGGCTCAAGTGGCCCTCCCACCTCAACCTCCCAAGCACCTAGGATCACAGGCAGGCACTGCCACGCCTGGCTAATTTTTTTTTTTTTTGTAGAGACAGGGTTTCACTATGCTGCCCAGGCTGGTCTCAAACCCCTCGGCTCAAGTGATTTACCCACCTCAGCCTACCCAAGTGCTAGGATTACAAGTGTGAGCCACCGCACCTGGCCCAGATGGGGAAGACTTCATCAAATATTCTCTCCTCCGTTTTTTTCTCCTTGACTTCCTAAAAACTAAAACATGAAAAATATAAGTCCAAAGTGAAATTCTGGACTAATTTTTCAGAGCTCCTAGTCACTAGGAGACAGCTGCTTCAACATTTTAAATGTATTACCTTATTTCAGAAAAGCAAACATTATAACTTTAAGCAGGAACACCCCTGAGTTGCTTGGCATCATTTTTAAAATCTGATTTAAAACTACTTGATGAGCCAAATGTTGTGTTATGTGGACTTAGGTTCTGTCTTTTTTATGCTCAGTCCTCAATATTCAGTGAGAATCCATGAAAAGAAGATAAATGAGGACATGTCTTTGAGAAAATACAACATTTAAAGACAGAAAAATGTAAAATATAAAGACTGAGAGGGACCATATAGAGGGTCAGGAGGAAAGACAGAGGATGTGGTTTCCAGATGCGTGGCATCCCTTACTCAACATCACATACAAATACTAACTCAAATATCTAAATGACAGAGCTAACTGTATTAGTCCATTTTCATACTGCTGATAAAGACATAACCAAGACTGGGTAATTTATAAAGAAAAAGAGGTTTAATGGACTCACAGTTCCACATGGCTAGGGAAGCCTCATAATCATAGCAGAAGGCAAAAGGCATGTCTTACATGGCAGCAGGCAAGAGAGAAAATGAGAGCCAAGTGAAAGGGGTTTACCCTTATATAATCGTCAGCTCTCATGAGACTTACTCACTACCAAGAGAACAGTATGGGGGAATCCACCCCCATAATTCAGTTATCTCCCACCAGGTCCCTCCCACAACACATGGGAATTATGGGAGCTACAATTCAAGATGAGATTTGGGTGGGGACACAGCCAAACCTTATCACTAACACTATAAATCTCCTATAAGAAAATATAAGAGTAAATCTTTATGAGATTGAGCAATGGTTTCTAGATATGGCACCAAAAGCACATGCAATGAAAGAAAGACAGATAAGTTGGACATCATCAGAATTAACACTTTTGTAGTTCAAAAGATACCACCAAGAATGTGAAAGGCAACCCAGAGGATGGGAAAAATCTCTTGGACATCTTATTTTTGATAAGGGACAGGTATATGGATTATACAAAGAATTCCTGCAACAATAAAAACACAACCCAATTTAAGAATGAATAAACAATCTGAATAGACATTTCTTCAAAGAGGTTTTACAAATGGCCAATAAACACATAAAAGATTCCCAACATCATTAGTTGTTAGGGAAATGCAAATCAAAACCTAAATGAGATATGACTCCACATCTACTAAGATGGCTCAAATCAAAAAGCCAGATAATAATGAGTGTAGGCAAGGCTGTGGAGAAATCGGAACCCACAAACATTGCTCGTGAAAGTGTAAAATAGTGCAGCCACTTTGGAAAACATTGTATAGTTCTTCAAATGGTTAAACAGAGTTACCATATGAACTAAATTTCACTCCTAGGTACGTACCCAAGAAAAATAAAAACACATGTGCATACAAAAACTTGTGAACAAATATTCATGGCAGAACTATTCATACTAGCAAATAAGTAGAAACAACACAAATATTCACCAATGAATTAATGGACAAATAAAATGTGGTATAACAATACAATGGAATACTGTTTGACAATAAGAAGGAATTAAGTACTAACACATGCAACACCATGGATAAACCTTGAAAACATTATGCTAAGTGAAAGAAGCCAGTCACAAGGATCACATATTAGCTCATTTGTGTGAAATATTCACAATAGGTAAATCCATAGAGACAGAGAGTAGGCTGATGGCCGCTTGGGGCTGACAGTCTCAACAGTGATGAGGAGAGACTGCTAATGGGTATGGATGGTGAAAAATGTACTAAAATTGATTGCAGTCATATTTGCAAAATTCTGGATAGGCTAAAGACCATTGTATTTTATACTTTAAATGGGTCGATTTTATGATAGGTAAATTATATTTTAATAAAACTGTTATAGAAGAAAGAATGGTGGAATCGTCAAGTAAGTTAAAGTTGGCTTCAAATACTAGGAAGTTAAACATTAAAAACTGCCCAATGAATTTCATGCACAGATCTCAGTGATGACCTCACTGAGAGCTATTTTGATTGATAAACTGGCGAGGATGTAGAAGCCAGTTTGGAGTAGAATAAGTAGTTAGTGGGAGGTTTCAAAAACAAAAAAAGGGTGGAGAAAGCAACAAATCAGGAAACGTTTTCATTCAAGAAATTTGGCTGTGAAAAAGAAAAAGAATATTAGCTGGATGAGATAAGAGGTCAATGAGAACAAAAGAAGAGGCCTAGAGCACGTTTAATAAATGCGGCTGGGCATGGTGGCTCACACCTGGAATTCCAGCACCTGGGGAGGCCAAGACAAGTAGACTGCTTGAGCCCAGGAGTTCAAGACCAACCTAAGCAACATGGCGAGTAAAACAACAAAATATATATATAAATAATGAATGCTGCAGACTGAGGGACCAAGTTGATCAGAGAAACGTAACAGAATTATTAAGCAATGTCAGAGACATGTTTTAAGAAGGATGAATTTTAATGATATTTAATTTGCCATTTGTTGCAACCTTCTCCAGCATGGCTCAGCTGCCCATATACAGGTGACAGTACAGAGGGCGTAAGAGTCTTACAAGATAAATGGCATAAGTCAGTCATGGAATTTATTTACAAGATTGTTATGAGAAGAGGTGAAGTAAGAAAAACCGCTCGACTGTGAGAGAATAAAGTTCTCAGTGGATTCTGAGATAAATGTTCTCTCACTCCATAGCATTTATCATTTATTTACTTTTAATTCTTTTTTTTTTTTTTTTTAAAGAAGATGTGGTCTCGCCATTTTGCCCAGGCTGGTCTCAAACTCTTGAGCTCAGGCAATCTGCTTGCCTTAGCTTCCCAAAGTGCTGGGATTCCAGGTGCGAGCCTGACTGGGAGACAATGAAGTTCTCAGTGGATTCATGTGGATGAGATTAAAGAACAGTCATTGCAGGAGTAGTTGAACAAGTAGGCTGGAAGACAAGGAGCCTGAGATGCGAAGTAGAATGCTTGAAATTAATGACTGTAGAGGTGGAGCAGTTTCAGATGATAGAGAGCACATATCACTGAGTTGGGGTGGGTGCACAGAAGAGGAATCCATTGGAAATTTAAATTATTAGCAGTAAGAAGTTGGAATGTTGGAAGGGCCATTCACACGTTGGATTCACTCAGGATAGCTATGGTGTTTGGATGGAAAAGAATGACTGCAAATCAATGGGCAGAGTCTCAGATGACTGAGTGAGAGTAGGGGTTGGTGCATGACAGTGACCGAGGAAGAGAGGGTGGTGGGGTAAACCATCAGGAGTTCCAAAGTGGCAGGACTTTTTTTTTGTTTCCTTTCTTACTAAACAGAGTGGTCAGGAGAAGAAACCAACAAGAAATGTAACCTACCTCCAGAACTCAGGAACTCAGGTACCCTTAAGGATATCAGAAACAATGAAATATGGATTGGCAGAAGCATCTTCACCACCATCTTCAGATGTAATTAATGCAGCTGTTGAATTTGGTTGACTATCCACCTATAATTACCACATTGCCCATTACAGATTTTTGCTGCCTTTTCTTGCCTCCTTTTCATTTTTACATCCACTTATTCCCTACAGAAATGACAGATAATCAGCATTTTTGTTTTCTTGTTATGTTGTCCTGATAGTACAGCTACAAATGGATTTGATGTGCTGAATAATGGTCTACTAGGCCTAAAAATGAAAGTCTAGACCCTTAGTCAAAAATAACTTGGATCTATGTGGTACCAAGAAAAGAGGAATTATAAGAAAAAGAATATTAGTTTAATGTTCTGTAAATTTTTTTCTTAACCTATTCTGTCCAGTATTTACTACTTGGCTGCATTCCTAAAACATAAATTTCACAGGGGCAGGAGTCTTTGTCCATTTTGCTCATTAATGTGTTAGGAATACTAAAAAGAGTGTCTAGCGGGGTAGTCACATAATAAATACCTGTTGCATGAACAAATGGGCTCTTATCAGCAGCATTTTGTTGAGTTCCTAACATTAGCGGTACACTGGCACTGTCCTGAGTGAAATTAAAGACAGAATTTTCACAAATAGAAGCATGTTAGAAGAATCACCTAACAATAAGACAATCTACACTCTATGAAAGCAGAACACAACCCACCAGAGGGAATGAGAAAAAGGAAGGGGTGGAACCGAGCCAAGGAATCTTTTGCCAAGGGGAGAAAAAAAAAAAAAAATAAAGGCCAGAGAAGAAAATGCAGCAGGTGCGCACAGGTTTGACACCTGGTCGACCACAGTATCTCCCAAAGTGCCACATTCCAATAGGCTTTTGGAGAACCATGGTCAAATACATCTGTGAAATGATCATCTAACCAAAGTTTAAAACGTCCCTTTTTACTACACCACTTTTTGACCCTTTGCCAAAGGGTTTTGTAACTTTCCAACAGGGGTCGTTGATGACAGAATTATATGTATATATGTATGTCTGTGTAGAATTTTCTCTTTTTTTTTTCCAGATGGAGTCTCGCTCCGTCACCCAGGTTGGAGTGCACTGGCACAATCTCGGCTCACTGCAACCTCCGCCTCCTGGGTTCAAGTGATTCTTTTGCCTCAGTCTCTTCAGTAGCAGGGGTTACAGGCACGCACCATCATGCCCAGCTAATGTTTTTTTTTTTTAAGCAAAGACTAGGTTTCACCATGTTGGCCAGGCTGGTCTCGAACTCCTGACCTCAAGTGATCCACCCACCTCAGCCTCCCAAAGTGCTGGGATTACAGGCATGAGGCACCGCACCCAGCCAATGTGTGTAGAATTTCAACGGACATGTCTAACATGGAACATATTATGGAAAAATGTTAATCCAAACACAACATTGTAAGAGGGTGCTGAGGCTAGACCTCAGCTGCACTGAATGGCTGGCAGCTCTGAAGCTGGAATATGTCTCTGGGTCACTTTCTTCTGGGTCATCTTAACTGACAAGTGCATGGAAAATGCTTAAGTGTCTACTCCCATTGATCTCAGAGCAGAAGAATGACACAAGCTTCAAGCAGGTTTGTCAAGGATTGCAATTATTATGGGCAGGTGCTTCTCTGCAAATATTATATTCATGAATGTTATGGGATTCTTCCAGGAGAGCCTAGCTACAGGGAGTTGCAGGGATGTGGAAACTCAAAGAAAGAAGACATGATATAGAGAACTCTGGAGGAGACAAGCAGACCCCAGCAAAATGGCCATGGGTTAGGGTTATGAAGAAAAAATAACCGACAACAAGCCTAAGCAATGGGAGAGGTCAAGGAATTTTAAGATCAGAAAATTTTAATTATAAGAGCAGATATCAAGTTTTAAACTTTACTCTCCTTTGTGGTAATTTCTGGAAGTGAGTATCTCTTCTTAGTTAAGTTTGTGAAAGATGACAGCTTTCAGATACCCATGGCTGATAATCTTGGAAAGAAAACCAACTGATAGACAAAGAACCTGGTTCCCCCCAACCATCATACTTGTAACACTAACTTGCCTGTGTCATTGAGGTGATGTAATGAGGGGAAATCTAAGGGTACTCTGAATCACCCCCAAAACCACAGGCGGATTTTCTCTAGGAACTTCTCTTGCATTGTTAGCTAGATTCCTCTGTAAGGATTAAGTAAGTATAAACACCTACATGGCACTAAAGCATAAATAATCTGTCAACAATTTAGGCAAACAATGAGATAAAGTGCATGGCACTTTGGGCAGAACTACTGATGATTAAAAGAGAATGTACCTGAATAAAATTTACACCAATACCAGCTAATGCAACAGGTTGCAAAAATTTGTTAAATTTCTCATCCCAGCCTCAAAGAAATAACTAAAAATAAAAGGAAATTCAAAAGAAAAAATGGTATTAAAATTCAGAGAACAAAATGATTTCTTATCACTTGTAGATGACCTTTCTAAAATTTTTTATTTTTATTTTTGTAGAGAAAGGATCTTGCTGTGTTGCCCAACCTGGTCTCAACCCCCTGGCCTCAAGTGATCCTTCTGCCTCAGCTTCCTGAGTCAGTAGGGTTAGGAGCATAAGCCACTGCACCTGTCTCATGTAACCTCTCTTAGTGCAGAGATTTTCTTTGTTGGTTGCTATATATACCAGCACCCATATTAATACCTGCCCAGAGTAGGTGATCAATAATTATTAGTTGAATGAATGAAGGTGAAATAATTACTGAGCATCTGCTACATATTAGGAGCTGCATAAATCACAGTGCCTATTGAAAGGTTGCTATTATCCCTGTTTTGCAGATGAGGAAACGTGACTTACAGAAGTAACTTTCCTAAATTCAAAAAACTGGTAGGTGGCAGAGACAAATCCAGAATCCAGGTATGACCTAAATGCTCATGCTCTTTCCACCTCATTCCTGTCAGACCCAATATATTTTCTATAATAAATATTTTAATGTGTCCTTTACTGTCGTGAAATCAATTCAGAGAACATATCTTTGCATACGTAAGTTCAGAAAAATCAATGCAGTGTCCTCACTGTAAAACGAAATATAAAAGGAATGTAACTTAAGACAATGAATACGCAGGTATGATCACAGCAGAAGACAATGAAACAGATCCTTGCCCTCATCCATAGAATTATCCTGACTGTAGATCTGCAAATGCAGAATGATAGAAGTGATAGGTATTGGATATTCAAATACCTGAGTGCACTGCCATTGACTTGGTAACATTCCAAACAAAACAATATGCAATTTTCTCCACGTATGCGGTAGTTGAACTTCTGGAAAAGTCACTGTATATTAAAATTATGTAAAAATACTGGACACAGAATACTACTTTAAAAAAAAAAATACAGATGAGGTCTCACCATGTTGGCCAAGCTGGTCTTGAACTCCTGGGCTCAAGCGCTCCTTCCACCTTGGCTTCCGAAAGTGCTGGGATTACAGGCACGAGCCACTACGTGCCTGGCCACAGAATACTTCTTCGTTGAACAGAACTAGCTCCTACCCACTGAACACCAGAAGTGCCTGCTAGTCTAGTGAACAAAAAAACTTCACACATTTTTAAAATTCCACAGAGGACACAGTGCCACCTTATGCCTCACTGGTCTTCAAGAACAGTAAGAGGCCAAAGGAAGAGACTAACTTTTTTATTTGTACAAACTTACAAGGTACATGAGAAACTGTGTAATATGTCTATAATGCGTAATGACCAAGCCGTGGTATTTAGGGTGTCCAACACCCAAGTACACTACATTTTTGTTAAGCATAGTCATCCCACTCTGCTACTGAACGGTGAATGTTTTCCTTCTATCTTACTGTATGTTTGTACCCTTTAACAAGCTTCTCTTCATCCTCCACCTCCTCCCCACCCACCTTTCTCAGTCTCTCTCTCCACTCTCTACCTAATTCTCTCTATCAAATTCTTTAGCTGCCACATATAATTGAGAACAGGCAATATTTGTCTTTCTGCACCTGGCTGATTTCACTTAAGATAATGACTTCCAACTCCATCTATGTCGCTGCAAATGACATGATTTCATTCTTGTTTTATGGCTGAATATTACTCCATTGTGTATGTATGTGTATATATGTGTGTATTTATGTGTATATATATATACACACACATATACATACATATATACATACACACATACACATACATACATATATACATACACACATACACATACATACATATATACATACACACATACACATACACACACACACACACACACATATATATATCACATTTTATCAGTTCATCCATTCATGAACACTTAGGTTGATTCCATATCTTGTCTATTGTGAATAGTACTGCAATAAACATGTGAGGTTGGGTATCCTTTGATACACTGATTTCTTTTCTTTTGCGTAGATAGCCAATAATGGGATTGCTGGATGGGATGGTGATTCTACTTTTAGTTTTTTGAGAAATCTTCAGACTGTTTTTCCTTTGTGGCTGGACTCACTGTATATACGAGTTCCCTTTTCTCTGCAAAAAGTAAACTTTAATTAAAACTGCTCATCTAGGGTTGAGAGATCAGCAAAGACTCCATAGTGAAGGCAAAACATAAGCTGAAGCTTATAAACTCGGGATGACGTCTCCAGGCCAGAAACCTTAGAGCACTTTCAGACGGACCTCCTCACACACCCAATCCTGCTGACGGAGAACTAGAATACAGTAGAAACTTTCAGTTACATTTCCCCCACACTGTCCTCTTGGTGTGGGGGAAATGTAATTAATGATGTGAATCAACTTTAACGACCTCAGCAGGAACTAGGGAAGCCAGGTACTTACCCCAGAGCTCTATAAGGATTTTAGCAAGTGTATCCCACAAAACTGGGTCGTTTGTGGTGGCGGTGGTGGTTGTTTTAAGCCTCCTTATGAGCCTATTCTGTGATAGGGTTCCTTGGTAACATTTTGAGCACTGGGTGTATTAGGCTACAGATTCAGAAGAAAAATGATGCTAACAGTGTGGTCTGTGGTTTTTCTCTGGGAGCTAGACTGTGTGCCTCTGATATTTCTGGATCACAGTTTTGATTGTCTGATACCTTGGGCGATCTTAATCATGATGCTATGCTTCATAAATGTCTCTGTTTGATTTGAAGTCTCATCTACTCTACTGAATCAACATTGCCCTGCATTTGTGCCTGCATGTGTTGGTGATGCTGTTCAAGCATCTGTCCAAATTAGTGCACTTAGCTTCATTTCCTTCCTTGGGGGAATCCTGTAATTTTTCTTACTATAGAGTTTATTAAGAGGCCTTAATTGTTTATATTCCCTGTTGCGAATGAGTCCCTTGGAGCTGTTAACAAATGACTCATAATAAGTTTGACTAGATGATCTCTAAACTTCCCTCCCAGTTCCAACATTCTATGATTTTATAAGTGGAACATTAATTTCTCTCATTTGTAGAGAACTTAAATGTCACAGGCAGATATTGAGAACATAAAGTGGATCTTGGTGAACCATCACATACTTGTACGTGCTGAATACAAGACACAGTGGGAAGGGTGTTTAGGGACAAAGAAATTGCTCCAGGGCTTCTGGTGATTAGACTTGGGTGGGATTTGAAAAGACGCTACAAAAAGTAGATTTGTCTTTTTAAGTGTTTGGTCCAGGGAAGAACATCATCTATTGGAAAAGAGGCTTAAAAAAGTTCTGTGAGATGAGGCTGAGGGCAGTGGCTAATGCCTGTAATCCCAGTGTTTTGAGAGGCTGAGGTGGGCAGATCACTTGAGCTCAGGAGTTTGAGACCAGCCTGGGCAACATGGTGAAACCCTATTTCTAAAACAATATAAAAATTAGGCTGGGAGCGGTGGCTCACGCCTGTAATCCCAGCACTTTGGGAGGCCGAGGTAGGCAGATCACGAGGTCAAGAGATCGAGACTATCTGGCCAACATGGTGAAACCCCATCTCTACTAAAAATAACAAAATTAGCCGGGCGTGGTGGTGCATGTCTGTAGTCCCAACTACTTGGGAGGCTGAGGCAGGAGAATCACTTGAACCCAGGAGGCAGAGGTTGCAGTGAGCCGAGATCACGCCACCGCACTCCAAAGCAAGACTCCATGACAAAAAAAAAAATTATATATATATATATATATATATATATATATATATATATATATATATATATATATATGTATATATATATACATATATGCCAGGTATGCTGGTGCACGCCTGTAGTTCCAGCTACTCAAGAGGCTGAAGCGGGAGGAGGATCGCTTGAGTCTGGGAGGCGGAGGTTGCAGTGAGCTGAGATCATGCCACTGCACTCCAGCCTAGGTGACAGAGCAAAACCTCATTTCAAAAAAAAAAAAGGCGGGATGATACAGAAAAGGAAAAGAATGTATAAGTAGTAGACACTGACAATTACATTCTACAATTAAGATTTCTGGGGAGTCTAGGTAATTTTAACCTTTGGAGAAAAAAAAAAGAACCTGAGATTCTTTCCAAGGCCCTCACAGTAAGCTGGCTGCCAGTAAGTCCATCATAGACCCTAATACCGCCATCTTGGGTCTGAAGAAGATGATCTATGAAAGAGCGTGCATGTTTGAAGCAATGCACCGTAGTTTCACAATATTGCCATTTTCTATTTTTGTGAAACATGTATTCTGACTTGTTACTTTAAGTTTTGTTATGGAAATATAAAACTCTGTGTACCTTTTTGTCTTATAAAAATATATATCACCATTTTCACAGGTCTACCCTCATTTCTCTCTTTTTTTTTTTTTTTAGCAAATTCTCCCAGATTGTGATACCTCATTTCTGAGGACTTCATCTTTACCAAATCTTTCAATCCAAAGCAAACGAATACTGAAAATTCATGTATCCAAAGCAAATGAATACTGAACATTCACGTTGAGATGATCTTTAAATGTAATTAAATAGAGATAATGTAACTAAAATTAGAGTCCTCTTCTCTAGCTCATCTTTACTAATCTGTACTGGATTTCTCTATCTTCTTCATTTCTGGCTTCATTTCCAGTTTCTTCTTTCCTATATTCATCTTCAGTCCTGTCTATTTCTATTTCATTTCTCTAAATGAACATTGGTCCATTCTGTTTCATGCTTTTTCATTCACCTCAGAAAATCTCCTTTTCCATTCCCGGATGACTTCCATACACGTTCAGTTCGAGGAGGTTTGTATTGTTGCCTGTCTCACTGCACTTCCATTTCAGGACTGGCCACGTCTCTTCTGTGTTCTTTTGTGCCACACAACTTTACTCAGGGAGTTGTTTTTTATTACTTCGATTTATTCTATTGTTTTCTTTTCAGTAACCCTTCTCTCTTATCCTTTTCCCTCACAGATACACAGACACACACATCACAACCACCGCCACTACCATGCTCCTCACTGCCAGTCCCTTCGTCTCTCAATTCCATTCATTATCCTAAAATAGAATATGTAAATCCCTCATTCTTACTCCAATTAACTTCTATCTCTCCTCCTGCCTCCTAATTCAACCCCATAACTCTTATACATCCATCTATTCTCCTCCTTTTCTTCTGTCAGGAGATCATTTCAGTAATGTTTATGAGAACAGATTACTTATTTACCACTTCAGTGAAAACAAAACCCCCCAAACCACAATTCAAATATTAAGACAAAAAACTGACTAGAATGTTCTTATTCATTTAGCAAACATGTGCTGCATAGTGTACTGAACTAGCTCCACTTTTTGAAAGAGAATTATCAGACATGACAATGACCCTCAAGGAATTTTCTCCTTCTTTAAAAATCATAAAATCACAGACTAAATGTGATCGCTCTACAATGTCTGAAATGGAGGAGCTGACAAGAGGTCTGAGATTTCTATTTAATATGTCCTTTGAAGGTCAAAATATTTCTAACAGAGCAGGCCTCCTATAGCAAATGGGAGTTTTCATTAAAGATGCAAATATATATCCCAAAATGAAGTCACTGAAGATAGAAAAGAAATGAAGTGAGGACAGAGAGCTGGCTCATGCCTGTAAGCCCAGCACTTTGGGAAGCCAAGGCAAGAGGATCACTTTAGCCCAGGAGTTCAAGACCAGTCTGGGCAATATAGAGAGATGTTACCTCTATTTTTTAAAAAGGAGAGGAGAGGAGGAGAGGAGAGGAGGGGAGGGGAGGAGAAGAGAGGGGAGGGGAGAGATGGGAAGGGAAAGTGAAGCAAGGAAAGAGAATGAAAGGAAGGGGAAGAGGGGAAGGAGGAAAGGGGAGAGAAGGGAAGGGAAGGGAATGTGAGGGAAGGAAAGGGAAGGGAAGGGAACGTGAGGGAAGGAAAGGGAAGGGAAGGAAAGGAGAGGAAGGAAAGAAAGGGAAGGGAACATGAGGGAAGGAAAGGGAAGGGAAGGAAAGGAGAGGAAGGAAAGGAAAAGGAAAGAAAGAGAAGGGAAGAGAAGGAGAGGAAGGGAAAGGGGAAGAATAGGAAGGAATGGAAGGGAAAGGAAAGGGAAGGGAAGGAGAAGAAGGGAAGGAATATAGGTAGGATGCTATGCATAGATAATGTAGCTTTTAGGAAAAGAAACAAACAAAAAAAAACTACAACTACACCTGAGTATTTTAGGATACACCCAGAATATCCTGATAATGAGTACTGGGACTTTGGACAAAATAGAAGGCTCAGTAATTATAGATGAAGAGGCTTTCAGTAACCCTATTTGCTGGAGCCAGAGAAGCTAGTTTCTATCTCTTCAATGCTACTCCGCCCAAGCCTCAGAGGCTCTTCCAAAAAGAAAGTATATCCACCATGATTAGCTTCTAGGGAGCCACTGTGACCGTGGGCTCTCAGAACTGAAAATAACTCAGCATTACACCTTTCCTTCTTCCTACGTGACAACCCATGCACAAACTGAAGTTTTATTCGTGAACTAGTTTCTGGAGAAGCAGCTGACATAATTACTCACAGATTATTCACAGGATAAAACTTCTCGGTGCTTCAAAAGGATTCCTGATACACTCATTCGACTGAACACAGTTACACTTCATACCTGGCATGGAAATCTGGCAAACTGAAAATTGGCTGTAAAAAGGATATTTCCAGTGAAACACAGAGCAAACCCTGCAGAGACTAACTTTCCTTCCCCAGAATTCCCATGGCTCTGGATCTCACCCACTTAATTTTTGTTGCTGTGACTGAAAATTTACTTCACCAAACTATCAACTGTAATAGTAAGATTCTTGCAGTATAAAGGGATCAGCGAGCAGAAGTATTCATCTGTTTACATTCTTCCATTGCAATTGACAAAATAAGAAAAAAAGGACTCTATAAAAGAATCTGCAATATCAAAAAATTAGAACATTGCACTAAATGAAAAGAAAAAAACACACTGTGTTAGTTCATTCTCACACTGCTATAAAGACATACCGAGGACTGGACAGTTTATAAAGGAAAGAGGTTTAATTGACTCACAGTTCCACATGGCTGGGGAAGCCTCAGAAAACTTACAATCATGACAGAAGGTGAAGGGGAAGGAAGGCACCTTTTTCGCAAGGTGTCAAGGAGGAGAATGAATACAGGAGGAACTACCAAACACTTATAAAACCATCAGATCTCATGAGAACTCACTATCGCGAGAACAGCATGGGGGAAATGGCCCCCATGATCCAATTACCTCCTCTTGGTCTCTCCCTTGACCTGTGGGGATTATGGGGATCGTAATTCAAGATCAGATTTGGGTGGGGGCGCAAAGCCTGCCCATATTGCAAACATTTAAAATAGATTTCTGTGACTGGGTGCAGCGGCTCACGCCTGCAATCCCAGCACTTTGGGAGGCTGAGGCAGGAGGATTTCTTCAGGCAAGCAGTTTGAGACCAACATGGACAACATAGCAAGACCCCACCTCTGCAAGAAAAGAAAAGATTTATGATAGAAAATAGAAGGAAACAGCATTCGGGATGTCCTTCTGAACATAAAGCAAAGCCCTGACTATAAAATAAGACATAAAAATATTGCAATGATAAGACAACTCAGTGATGAGGAGAAGGGTTGACATGGTCATTAAACAGGTAGAAATTTTTAAAAAGCAGAATGAGACAAGGCTGTGATGTGAACGACAAGCTTGAGTCAGTAGGCTGAAATACAGCAAAAAGAACACTGAACTTTTTAGGCTTGAGTCAATATCATGCTTCTAATTATGATAGCCTTAGAACAAGCTTTAATATCTGATTCAGTTATTCACTTTTAGTCTTCTTTTTTCAAATGTTTAAACATAATTCCACACTTTCTTCCTTTCAATAAAATTTTTCCAGATCTAACAAATAAAATACCACTGTAAATGTATGCAAACAAAATATATATTAAGTTGATGAGAATGTCTATTTTTACTTACATGGAGTCAATGAATTATGTGTTCTCATTTATTTAAGGCTGTTTCCTTGTCCACCGACTAAGGTACTGCACATCTTAATTAAGTTTTTATTAAATATATTCCCATATACTGTCACTGTTTACCTCTTATTTGGGACCCTAAAGCTACACTCTCTTAAAGGTGAAACACTAGGGTTATTTTTGTTAAAGTGAAAATGGCCCCATCACCTTTATGGTTAACATTGCTTTATAAACATTCTGCAATAAACTAAGACTCTTAAAAAGCAATGTAAGTACAAATATTTAAAGTAAGGAAATGACTTTTTAGTGATGAGCAGATGCTTGGAATTCTACCTTCAAGAAAATCAACTCAACTTATGATAACTAAGGTAAGAGTTTTGTAAGATGGTAAGTTACAATAGGATTAAATAAAATTATGACTGTAAAGTACCTGGACCAAATTGCAATGCTTCACTGTTTGTTAGTTTTTAGTGTTATGGCCTTAGCTATTCAAGCATATACTGGTGCACATTTGGGAGAACATTTCTATGTGGAAATGTGGAAGAGGAACTGATGGGCCATGGGCCATGCACATTTTCAACTCCACCAGATCCTGCCAAATGGCTCACCAATTTACACCCCCATGAATACTACGGTGTATACACACTCGTGTGTCACTTAACAATGAGGACATGTTCTGAGAAATGTGTCGTTTGATTATTTCGTCATTGTGTAAACATCATAGGGTGTATTTAAACAAATCTAGATGGTATGGCCTACTGCAGACCTTAGGCTATATGGTATCATCTATTCCTTTGGCTCCTAAGGCTACAAACCTGTACCCATGTGACTGTAATGAACACTGTAGGCAACTGTAACACAGTGGTATTTGTGTATCTAAACATATCTAAGGTACAGTGCAAGGTACAGTAAAAATATAGAATACAAGAAAAAAATATAAGACACTTAGCATGAATAGACCTTGCAGGACTGGAAGTTGCTCTGGGTGAGTGAGCGAGTGACGAGTGAAAGGGAAGGCCTAGGACGTCACTATACACTACTGTAGACTTTATAGACACCGTACACTTATGCTACACTCTATTTTAAAAACAGTTCTTTCCTCAATAATAAATTCGGCTCAGCTTACTGTAACTTTTTTACCTTATAAACTTTTAAATTTTTTTAACTTTTTGACTCACAATAACAGCGTACAACACAAACACTGTACTGCTATACAAAAATACTTTGTCTTTATATTCTTATTTTATAAGCTTTTTTCTATTTTACCTTTTTGTTTGTTTTACTTTTACCTTTAAACTTTTTTGTTAAAAACTAAGACACAAACACACCTATTAGCCTAGTCCTACACAGGGTTGGGATCATCAATGTCACTGTTTTCCACCTCTGCATCTCATCTCACTGGGAGGTCTTCAGGGGCAGTAACACACATGGAGCTGTCATCTCCTATGATAACAATGCCTTCTTCTAGAATATCTCCTGGAGGACCCGCCTGAGGCTATTTCACAGTTGGCTTTTTTATACATATAAGTAGAAGGAGTACACTCTAAAATAACAATAAAAAGTAAGGTAAATAAGTAAACCAGTAACATAGTCATTTATCATCAAGCATTATGTACTGTACGTAATTGTACGTGCTAGATTTTTATACTATTAGCAGTAGAAGTCTGTTTACACCAGCGCCATTGCAAACACATGAGTAATGCATTGTGCTACAACGTCACTAGGTGACAGGAATTTTTCAGCTCCATTATAATTATAATCTTTTTTTTTTTTTTTTTTTTAACAGAGTTTCACTCTTTTTGCCCAGGCTGGAGTGCAATGGCATGATCTTGGCTCACTGCAACTTCCACCTCCTGGGTTCAAGTGATTCTCCTGCCTCAGCCTCCTGAGTAGCTGAGATTACAGGTGCACACCACCACATCCAGCTAATTTTTTGTATTTTTAGTAGAGACAGGGTTTCACCATGTTGGCCGGGCTGGTCTCGAACTCCTTACCTCAGTTACCCACCTGCCTCGGCCTCTCAAAGTGCTGAGATTAGAGGCTTGAGCCACTGCACCCGGCCTCCATTATAATCTTGTTGGACCACTGTTGTATATGTTGTATATGTGGTCTGTCATTGATCAAAACATTAAGTGCCACATGACTGTATTTTAAATAAATCACTTTACACACTAATTTTCAAGATCATATCACTCCAAAAAGCAAGACAAACCTTTTTCTTGACAGCAGTTAAAAATCTATAGAATTCTCTAAACAAAATTTTTCAACAGAGAAAATTATATTAACTGATTTTTTTCTGCCAGAGATGAAAATTTTCCGGTGTCTAGGATAACTCAATTGGACAAGAATAACTGAAAAATACCAACATTCGTACATTTTCTTGTTAAGTTTATCACAACTTACTAAATGCTATATTATATGCTTAGTTCTATAAATGTATACATGTATATACACTAAATACTGCTATATATATATATAAAGCCATATATATTTAGTAACATATCATCTTTTCTCATGTTGATGTACTTTGATCATTGATGAGCTCAATAAAAACTGAAGATAAAAGCTTAGAATCACCATAACAATTGTGTAGGGAGAGAAAATATAGGAAGAAGTAGGAGAATATAGCTTATAAAACAATCAAGGGGGAATATCATTGCTATCAGTATTTTCATGAAGAAAACATGAATACTGTAGAAGGAATATAGAAATATACGATGAAAGTCCTAACCCAGTAAGTAGTTGATTCAAATGTTGCCTAATAAATCCAAAACTTATTTAAACTCAACGCAATTTAAGTAAACCCATACTCCACTCAGCTAACACACAGCAGATTGTAATCCTGTCTCCTTGCCAAAAATGAAAGTTTGTCTCTGTTCCTTCCATAAGAACTTTGGGTTTTACTATATAGCATTTCAGGATTAGAACTGATCAATGCAAAATTGCACATGTGGGCCGGGCGCAGTGGCTCACACCTGTAATCCCAGCACTTTGGGAGGCTGAAGCAGGCAGATCATGAGGTCAGATCGAGACCATCCTGGCTAACATGGTGAAACCCTGTCTCTACTAAAAATACAAAAAATTAGCCAGGCATGGTGGCGGGCGCCTGTAGTCCCAGCTACTCAGGAGGCTGAGGCAGGAGAATGGCGTGAACCCAGGAGGCGGAGCTTGCAGTGAGCCGAGATTGCACCACTGGACTACAGCCTAGGCAACAGAGAAAGACTCCGTCTCAAAAAATAAAAAAATAAAAATAAAAAAAATAAAAAATAAAATAAAATTGCACATGTGATCTAGGCCAGAGGCAGTGGCTCATGCCTGTAATCCCAGCACTTAGGGAGGCTGAGGTGGGCGGATCACCTGAGGTCACGAGTTCGAGACCAGCCTAGCCAACATGGCAAAACCCCATCTCTACTAAAAACACAAAAATTAGCCAGGCATGGTGGTGGCTGCCTGTAATCCCAGCTACTCAATAGGCTGTGGCAGGAGAATCGCTTAAACCCAGGAGGTGAGTACAGTGAGCCAAGATCACACTATGGCATACCAGTCTAGGTGACAGAGTGAGACCCTGTCTCAGAAAAAAAAAAAAAAAAAAAAAAAAAAAAAAAAGGAGAGAAAAAGAAAGAAAAGAAATTGCACCTGTGACCTGCCAATTGTACCTGTGACCTGACATATCAGTAAAATAGAGCATCGAGCCTGGAAACTGCCCACATTAGAGCAATGTTTCTAGTGTGTTTAAAACAAGCAGTGGGCTAGTCTAGCAGGAGGCATCAGTGGCCAGTGGGCCATAGCAGAGCCTGGGCAAAAAGGTCTGGGAAATGAGTAAAACATGTTTAGACAGTAGTAGGCAGATAACCTGGAGCACAACAGAGGTCTCTAGTTAACTGGAAGTAGAGTCAAGATCGGAACCTATGAACCCACTTTCCATAGGAGTGCCCTGGTCAGCTGCACACTTGAAGTCAGGCTCACTGAATGGTTCAAGTTCGGGGTCTGGGAAGAAAAGAAGAATCAAAGATGACTCTGAGGTCTGTGATGGGAAGAACAATGGTACTGCTAAGATAAATAGGGAATGTCAGGAGGTAGGCCTCGTTTCAGTTCCTTGGTGATAAGGTTTAGCTTTCACTGGGGTGTAGGGAGGCTCAGATGTTGGAGAAGGGATTTGTCTATGCCTGAAGCAGGCTATTCTTAGAAGTTCAAGCTGGCTTAAACATCTACAAATCAGCATGGAGAGACTGTTGAGATGTTGGTAGGCACGCCTGTGCAGGTAGTGGTAAGACCACAGTAGAAAGAATACATAGGAATGATTGACCTGCTCTGTAATTAGCTAACTGTGCAAGAATCACAACAAAAAGTGCCATTGAGAAGATTATGGTGAATGTTTAATTTTTAATAAGAACAGTTCTGTATAATTTCTAGGCATGAAGAAATCATGTAGAAATTTTGGAAGTAGCAAATAAATGTGTTGCTATTAAAATATGCTACTGGATCCTTACCAGAAATCGGTTATGACCATAGCACAAAAATACAGAGTGAGAACAAGCTGCAATTGACAGGCAGAATCTAATCATCTAATCCCATAAAAGCAAACAGAGAAGAACTGAAATGGTTTGAACACATACAAGGTCTTTTCCTGTAATTATTTTGAAGTAGTTACAAATTACTCAAACTCTTCCAGCAAAAAATGGCTCAAAGCAAAACTGAGAAAGAAAGTAGACATAGGATGAGAATGAGGTAATCATAAGGGAACAACTAGAAGGAAATTTGGGGGGATTACTTATTTGAGGTATGCTCAAGGTATCTATATTAGACTTATGTTTAACACCCAGAAAGTGTCCTTAAAAAGCCTCTGTAATGGCTGGGTGTGGTGGCTTACTCCTGTAATCCCAGCACTTTGGGAGGCGGAGGTGGGCGCATCACCTGAGATCAGGAGTTCGAGGAGACCAGCCTGGCCAACATAGTGAAACCCTGTCCCTACTAAAAATACAAAAATTAGCCAGGCATGATGGCGGGTGCCTGTAATCTCAGCTACTTGGGAGGCTGAGGCTAGAGAATCTCTTGAATCCGGAAGGTGGAGGTTGCAGTGAACAGAGATTGAGCCATTGCACTCCAGCCTCCGGCTCCAAAAAAAAAAAAAAAAAAAATCTCTGTGCAATTCAAGGACTCAGAAAACTCTCCTAACCTAACCCTAACCATAACAATCCCATAAAACTGTTGGCAGCAGATGCACCTGTCACATGTCTATGGTTGGTCCATGCTGAGCTGTCTTGGTGCCCAGACTTAAACAAACTGCCTCCACTAACATTAGGCCAGCGTTTGGCCCTCTCTATGGAGCTGTGCTGACCCTCTCTGTAAGGTAACACAGCTGCAGCCAACAGAACTACACACTCACTTAGTTATGTGAATCAGGAGTATCAACGGAACTAGTTACAAAGACTTCTGGAATCTCACAATTCAGGACTAAAGAGGGTCTGGATTTGTAGATAATTTTAAAATACTTATGAATCTAATTATCCATAACAAAGTTAAAAGTAAAATTAAATGAAACAATGCTAATAGTTTGGAAATTAGACAATAAGAATGGGAAAAAATATATCTTAGAGTTCTTGAAGTAAAAATACGATAGTCCCTAACTTATTATGATCATTTGACTTAACAGTTTTTTTTACTTCACAATGGTACAAAAGCAATAGGCATTTTGTAGAAACCATACTTCAAGTAGTCATACAACTATTTTGTTTTCCAGTATCAGTACAGTAGTTAATTACATGAAATACTCAACACTTTATTATAAAACAGGCTTTGTGTTAGATGATTTTGCCCAACTGTAGGCGAATGTAAATGCTCTGAGCATATTTAAGGTAGCCTAGGATAAGCTATGATGTTAGGTGGGTTAGGTATATTAAACGCATTTTCTACTTATGATATTTTCAACTTATGATGGGTTTATAAGGATGTAACCCTATCATAAGTCAAAGTGCATCCACATAATAAAAATAGATTTTCCCTGGAATTTAATGCCTGTCTCACTAACGTGTTAGAAAAATACTACTCATTTCAAGAGAAAACAGTAAACTCAAGAAGGGAGTAAAAACAAATAGACCTTTACTAAGTATTTCAATGGATTTTAAAATACTATAATTTTTCAATTCACAGAAGGTAGTGTAATAGATCATGAAATAGATACAAAGAACAGATAAAGGAAGCACTGCCTTCAGCTTGCAAAGAGGAAGAATTCACAAAATCAAGCCATGGCATTTTACTTGTAGAGCAATATTATAGGGTATTTCATTCCTTACATACCATACATCGCTCTTAACCAGGAAGTACAAATGTCAGCAACTATTCTATGTCATATTGCTTTGAATCTCTTTAATTCAGACATATTTTAAAAAACAGAAAATCTTCACAGCCAATGAAATGATAAAAAAAATTTTAGAAATCACCATCTACGTTCCTTTTTCACCCTTCAAAAAATATACATTCCAACAGCAGGTATACCTCTGTATACGATTCTAATGATTGAAATCTGTGGCAAAAATAAAAAGTAAAATCGAGTCAACAAACAAAAATTTCATAAAAGGTTGTTCTTCAACTTTGAAATTAGCCAGTCCTCAACTATGTAGGGTGTGAATCACAGGTCCTATAGAAAGGATGCTTGTGACCATATTTTATGGGCTTTATTAAGACCCAAACCTACATAAGCACCTCTCTACTTATGTAGTAAATTTAAGGATATAAGAAAAAGCATGATTTCAACAATGGCAGAAGCTTTGTAAATTATTCTGAACGTAAGTTCTCGCCAGCTTATACCTCCCCATGGTTTTCTTGGAAATTCTGAAACACTGGATCATTTCTGTGCCTTTGCTAATCAGAATACCATATAGAATAATTTAGCTGACTGGGTCTTTTGAAAATTATGGTGAAAATGAATATAATTCAAATGAAACAGTTCGATGGATAATGGCTCTGTAGAGGTAGCCATTAGGGTAACGATAATGAAATTCAAAATTAATTCAGTTCAATTCAGCAAATATTTATTAGTTTTTGATTATACTTTAAGTTCTGGAATACATGTGCAGAACGTGCAGTTTTGTTACATAGGTACACACATGCTACGGTGGTTTGCTGCACCCATCAACCAATCATCCATATTAGGTATTTCTCTTAATGCTATCCCTCTCCTAGTCCCCCAATCCCCCGACAGGCCCTGGTGTGTGATGTTCCCCTCCCTGTGTCCATGTGTTCTCATTGTTCAACTCCTACTTATGAGTGAGAACATACGGTGTTTTGGTTTTCTGTTCCTGTGTTAGTTTGCTTAGAATGATGGTTTCCAGTTTCATCCACTTCCCTGCAAAGGGCATGAACTCATCCTTTTTTAAGTCCGCATCATTTTCCATGGTGTGTATGAGCCACATTTTCTTTATCCAGTCTATCATTGACGGGCATTTGGGTTGGTTCCAAGTCTTTGCTATTGTAAATAGTGCTGCAATAAACATACGTGCGCATGTGTCTTTATAGTAGAATGATTTATAATCCTTTGGGTATATACCCAGTAACGAGATTGCTGGGTTAAATGGTATTTCTTGTTCTAGATCCTTGAGGAATTTCCACACCATCTTCCACAATGGTTGAACTAATTTACACTTCCACCAACAGTGTAAAAGCGTTCCTATTTCTCCACATCCTCTCCAGCATCAATTGTTTCTTGACCTGTTAATGATCGCCATTCTAACTGGCATGAGGTGGTATCTCACCACAATTTTGGTTTGCATTTCTCTAATGAGCAGTGATTATGCACTTTTTTTCATATGTTTGTTGGCCACATGAATGTCTTCTTTTGAGAAGTGTCCATTCATATCCTTCACCCACTTTTTGATGGGGTTGTTTTTTTCTTGTAAATGTGTTTAAGCTCCTTGTAGATTCTGGATATTAGCCCTTTGTCAGATGAGTAGATTGCAAAAATTTTCTCCCATTCTGTAGATTGCCTGTTCACTATGATGATAGTTTCTTTTGCTGTGTAGAAGCTCTTTTGTTTAATTAGATCCCATTTGTCAATTTTGGCTTTTGTTGCCATTACTTTTGGTGCTTTAGTCATGAAGTCTTTGCCCACGCTATGTCCTGAATAGTACCTAGGAATACAACTTACAAGGGATGTGAAGAACCTCCTCAAGGAGAACTACAAACCACTGCTCAAGGAAATAAGAGAGGACACAAACAAATGGAGAAACATTCCATGCTCATGGATAGGAAGAATCAATATCGTGAAAATGGCTATACTGCCCAAAGTAATTTAAAGATTCAATCCTATCCCTATCAAGCTACCATTGACTTTCTTCACAGAATTAGAAGAAACTACTTTAAGTTTCATATGGAACCAAAAAAGAGCCTGCATAGCCAAGACAATCCTAAGCAAAAAGAACAAAGCTGGAGGCATCACACTACCTGACTTCAAACAATACTACAAGGCTACAGTAATCAAAACAGCATGGTACTGGCACCAAAACAGACATATAGACCAATGGAACAGAAGAGAGGCCTCAGAAATAATGCCACACATCTACAACCATCTGATCTTTGACAAATCTGACAAAACCAAGCAATGGGGAAAGGATTCCCTATTTAATAAATGGTGCTGGGAAAACTGGCTAGCCATATGCACAAAACTGAAACTGGACCCCTTCCTTACAACTTATACAAAAATTAACTGAAGATTGATTAAAGACTTAAATGTAAAACCTAAAACCGTTAAAACCCTAGAAGAAAACCTGGGCAATATTAGCTTTATGTGTAAAGTTGCAGAGGTGTTCTACGTTTACAGAGATACAAAGATGAATGAGATGAGTTTCTTTCTCTCAAAGTCTTCACAGCTTCCAGGTGAAGCCAGAAATGTAAACTCCATAATAAAGGTACAAATCTCAGTACTAGAGACTCTCAACCTTCATAAGAAATTTCCTGTTTACTAGGGGATGAGAGAAGGCTTGCAGAGGAGATAGCCTTTGGAGAAGACCTTTGACAGAAAGAGATGGAAGAGGGCCTGGTGTGGAAGCTCCTGCCTGTAATCCCAGCACTCTAGGAGGCCAGGAGGGGTGGATCACTTGAGCATAGGAGTTCAAGACCAGCTTGGGTAATGTAGCGAAACCCCATCTCTACAAAAAATACAAAAACTACCCAGATGTGGTGGTATATCCCTGTAGTCCCAGCTACTCAGGAGGCTGAAGTGGGAGGATCACTTGAGCGGCGGAGGTTGAGACTACAGTGAGCCGTGATCGTGCCACTGCACTGCGGAGCTTGGGCAACAGAGCAAGAAGACCCTGTCTCTGAGAGAAAAAAAAAAAAAAAAAGAGAGATGGGAGAGACAGCAAAGAGAAGAGAAAAGTGAAAAGTGAGGGTGCATTCCTAGAATGGCAAGGGATCAAGTGAGACAAACACAGAGGGGCAAAGTGGGAAATAAGTCCGACCAGAGAGTGTGGTGATAATTGTGGAAAGCTATCAAGCTACTAGCTAAGGGCCAGCAACGAGGGAACAGCACAGGCAATTGAGCAGAGGAGTGATATAATTAGATCTGTATTTCAGCCCAAGCATCCAGGCAGGCATGTGTGGGGTGAACAGCAACCAGGAGTGACTGACTCAGGAGGCCAGTTCCAGAATCATTGCAAGAGTCTAGGTAAGAGGATGTGAGAGCAATGGGAACAGTAAGTGGGGTATGGCCAGAGGGAAATGAAATGAGGCGCTGGGTACAAAGTCAAATGTCAAACTGAAACAACAGGAGGTGGAGACCCTATTGGCTATAGGGACTGGAGGAAGGGATGGAAGCAATGAAGCTCAAAGTTACTTTCTTTAATTCAGACTTACACAAAAGTTGCAAAAATTACTATAAATAATTTCCATAGCTCCTCACCCAAATTTCTCAAATGTCACATCTTATCCTATTTGCTGTATCATTATGTCTTCCTTTCTCTTCTTCTCTTCCCCTTACACACATTATTATATACATTTTCTGAAAAATGCCTTTGAAGTTCTGAGCCTTGAGGTATTGAGAAACTTGTGACAAAAGTAATCGAAGGCCGGGTGTGGTTGCTTATGCCTGTAATCCCAGCACTTTGGGAGGCCAAAGCAGGAGGATCATCTGAAGTCAGGAGTTTGAGACCAGACTGGCCAACATGGCAAAATCCCGTCTCTACTAAAAATACAAAAATTAGCTAGGTGTGGTGGCACACACCTGTAATCCCAGCTGCTCCGGAGGCTGAGGTGGGAGAATCACTTGAACCCAGGAGGCGGAGGTTGCAGTGAGCCGAGATTGTGCCACTGCACTCCAGCCTGGGCAACAAAACAAGACTCCATCTTAAAAAAAAAAAAAAAAAAAAAGGTAATCAAGAGGGTGAATATGAAGCCAGAAAAGTGGGATGGGGGTTGGGAAGCACGTAGTGTAGAAGCTAGGAAGGAGCACAGAAATTCTGCAAACCCTTTCCTCATGTATATTTCAACAGTGAATGTTCCTCTGCTGACTAGAAATGATTTTCCTTTCTAACAAGTGTGCAACTCCAAAAAAAAACACAGAGCAGCACCTTGACAGAGGGCAATGCCCAATCCCACTAGTTCAGACAAACACATTCAGGTGATCAGATATGGCAGCAGATCAACCTAGACATTAACCTAGATGTCTGTCCTCCCTCCAATTCTGAAACCTTCATTCATTCATTCATTCATTCAACAAATATTTGTTTGATATGTTACACACTGTCCTACATACTGGAAATTCAGGAGTAGACAAAATACAGTCCATCATTTTCATGAAACTTACACGGCAATGGAAAGAAAGAGACAATAAACAAACAAATAATCCTGAGATAAGGGCTATGAAGAACAAATGAACTGGGTAAATGGTAGAGTGGCAGGTCAGGTTTGGGGAGTCGAAAAATATTTGATAAACTGATATTTACAATATCATTATTGTTATTATCAATTACAGTATAAATATCAATGTAAACCTATTTACAATAAATGGGTAAAGAAGTCATGTGGATATAAGCATAAACAGAGCATTTCCAAAAGGAGGAACAGAGAGAACAAAGGCCCTAACTGGGAGCATATTTAGTGTGTCTCGGCTACATCAAGGAGACTTCTATTAAATTGGACATATTCCTAAAGCAAATACCAAAACAATAAAACAAAGAATTACAGTTAATAAGTCAACAGAGGAGATCAAATGGAACATAATGTTCAATTAATCCCAACGTAGGCAGAATAAGAGGAAAAGGGGAACAAAGAACAAATGACATAAATAAAAAACAAATAGCAAGATTATGAGCTCAAATATAATCATATCAATAATAACAACATTACATGTAAATGGTCTAAACACCCAATTAAAAGGCAGAGATTGTCATATTGGGTAAGACAGCACTATAGGCTGCCTATAAGAAATACACTTCAAATAGAAACACACAAATGGATTTAAAGTTAGAAAATGGAAAAAGATATAGCCTAAGACTCTAATAAAAAGAAAGTTGAAGTGGCTACAGTAATGTGAGACAAAGTAGATCCCAGAGCCAAGATTATTTTGAGAGATAAAGTCATTTCATAAAAGATAAAGGGTAAAGGATCAGTTCAACAGGAAGACATAGCAATCCTAAATGTTTAGATTCCCTAATAACAGAGCTTCAAAATACATGAAGCAATTACTGATAGAAATGCAAGAAGAAATATAGAAATCCACATTATAATCATATATTTTTTGTTTGGTTTTTGTTATTTTGTTTTTTATAAAGATAGGGTCTTGTTATGTTACGTAGGCTGGTCTCAACTCCTGGCCTCCCAAAGTGCTGGGATTACAGGTGTGAGCCACAATGCCAAGCTTAGAATCTTATCTTTCAACACCTCTCTCTCAATAATTATTAGAACAACTAGACAGAAAATAAACAATAATATAGTAGACTTGAATGCTACCAATAAACTTGACATAACTGACATTTATGGAATGCTGTATTCAAAAACAACAGAATACACATTCTTCTCAAAAACACTCAGAATATTTACCAAAATTTCAAATATACATCACCTGTATCACTCCAGGCAAGAGCAGTTAATGATCAACATGGCAACCTCTTCACTCTAGCTCACAGAGTCACTTGCTTTTTGAACTATTTTCTTTTCATTTTCACAGGTGAATACAAATACAGTCACAAAGTACTTTAAACAAACACAATCACAGAGTTTCTACTATACCAAGAAAAACCCATGGTCCAGATCAGGACTACAGATCAGTGCCATCTTATTCTCCCACACATTGGTTAGCCAGTAAAACATAGTTTACTCGGCTTCTCCACTCAAAAGTGCTCTGTTGATTCCTAAACCATTAACTCTGTCTAAGTCAAAGTTTGAGTCTGCCCCATGTCTTAGTCCATTTGATTTGCTATAAAGGAACATCTGAGCTGAGTAATTTATAAAGGAAAGAGATTCATTTAGCTCACAGTTCTGCAGGCTGTACAGGAAGCATGGCGCCAGCATATGCTTTTGGTAAGGACTTCAGGTTGCTTCTACTCATGGTGGAAGGAAAAGCGGAGATAGCACATACAGAGATAACATGGTGAGAGAGCAAGGGAGGGAGGTGCCAGGCTCTTTTTAACAATCAATTCTCACAGGAACTAATAGAATGAGAATTTGCTCAATGCTGCAAGGACAGCACCAAACCCTTTATAAAGGATCTGTGAACAAAATCCTAACATCTCCTACCAGGCCCCACCTCCAACACTGAGGATCAAAATTCAACATGAGATTTGGAGGAGACTAATATTCAAACACCACCACCATATATAGCTGTGTTTTAGAAATTTTTCAATGTTAACTACTATGGAGTTCCAACAGACACCATCCATTTGCTGTTACAAAATAATCACATTTAACACCATCAAATTAATGAAAATACCATCTCGATGTAGAGTTCTCAGATTTAGCAAATAAAAATACAGGACAGAGGTCCAGTTAACTTTGAATTTTGGATTTTAAATAAACATTTTTTTTGAGACAGAGTGTCACTCCATCACCCAGGCTGGAGTGCAGTGGCAGAATCTCGGCTCACTGCAACCTCTACCTCCAGGTTCAAGTGATTCTCGTGCTCAGCCTCCCGAATAGCTGGGATTACAGGCATACACCACCATGCCCAGCTAATTTTTGTATTTTTAGTAGAGATGGGGTTTCACCATGTTGGCCAGGCTGGTCTCAAACTCCTGACCTCAAGTGATCCACACCCCATAGTGTAATTATGTCCCCAATATCGCATGGAGCCTAATTATTTTAGATCACCTAGAAAGAACAGGTGAGAACCACATGGTAAATTCTCGTGAAGAAAAGTTAAGAGGCCATGGGGCCTATGTGTGGTGAAATGAGTAAGTATAGGATCTAAAACAAAACCAAACAGACAGAAAGAAGAATGGTGAGAAGTGTAGAATCAGGTGCAACCCAATATCTGACACAGGAATAATCTCTATGGCTTTCTCCACGAGGTGGTTGTTCAGCCCCAGCATGAACATCAGTATAATTAGAGTACAAGAAGAAATTAGACATCCACAGTATAATCAGATATTCTAATACCCTACTCTCAATAATTAGCTCTTGAAGCCTACAAGCTACAGTGCTGTATTTGTCTTGAATCTTTCTGGAACTTCCACATGTGATAATTAAAATAATTCTGCTATTGCTATTTTTATGGCTGTATATTGCTCTGACTTTCAAAATGAAAGCTTTAATCTATAATCACACACCAAGGCTCCTGAGCAAAGGATACAATCTTTATTCATAAAACCATTCCCTCAAGTAACCACTCTATATGGGTTAGAAATAGGGAGGGAGAAAAAAGGAGGGGGACAAGGAAGGAGGGAATGAGCAAGAAAATATAAATAAAGTTGCTTTTGCCAACAATGCACTTGTAGAGGCAAGGAAAATGGATATGCTTTAAGAATTCCTCAGGGCCAAGGCAATAGTTATCTTTGCATCCTCAACCTCTAATTTGAGATCTCTCATAAAAAGAATAATGCCATACAGTCTTAGAATAGTAGTAGACTCATATAGCATCAAACACACCACATTGACTACAACAACCAAGCCTACTGAAAATGGAGGCATTGGAACATCATTTGGTTCCCTATATTCACACCAGACTGTTCTTACATCTTGCAGGTCAAAGATAATTGACTCTAATTTAGAAGAAGGGACAGGAAAAACTCTTAGAAGAATGATATTGCACATCTTCCTTGCTAAATTGTTTTAGCCTTTCCTGCAAAAACAGGCAGGAAGTTCTTTTTCATAACTCACCCCAATAACTCCTATTGTAGTTCAAGTTGACATCCTTTGATATCTATTAATATATTCCACAGAGAGAAAGAACAGCTAGTTACTATCTCCTGGACAGTCCTCATTCGGGCACTGAAAAATCCCGACTCAATAACTCCATCAGCCTTCTTGGAGATTTAATCATTTCAGGTCTTGTGACCTTTGTTAATAAGTCCTATTTTTCAAGGCTTTGTTCATTTTTCATCATTAGTTACACCGTTGCATAAAGATCAGGGCAAAAAGTGAAAAACTCAAATAATTCATTCCAACAAATGAAATGCTAATGCCGTTGCTATGTAGCAATGCTAGGTTCATTAGCCGCCTTTGCTTGGCATACCATCTGCAGATCTCCTCCGTTTATCCCACCAGCCTCGGGACATTTTAAAGAGTGGAATATGTCATAACCCATTCATGTTGACTCAATACCAAATGACATCTCTGTTTTCTGTAACACAAAATAAAGTTTGTCACACTTGGCTAATAGTTCTTAATGAGGATTAGGTTCTTTTTCATTCTTTTTTAACATTCCCCTAAGAGACACAATGTCAAATCGAGTAATTGTTTAATGAATGACTCTAAAGCAATTTGATGATGCAAAAACACAAATAGTGTTTAGCACAGATTCTAAATAATCACAACTGTTATTTTGAGCCAAATAGGCTGAATTTTCATTCTGAGGCATGTCAATAAAATAATTTATTCTAAGCTTTGATAATTCTGGGCAAACTTGGGAAATAAAGCAAGTGAGTAAGTTTGTCCTATGGAAGTCTTGTTACCCATGTGTATGTTCTCACCTCACCTCCTGAAATGTGACCCCTGACCTGTAGCAGGCTCTCAGAACACTCCTGCCCCCTCTAGGTGTCAGGATTTCTCCAGCTGTGCAATGTACCCCAACCCCATCACCACCCTGTGATTGACAGTCCTCTCTGAAACAGTGGTCCAGGTATTTGCCAAAATATTTACCTCTCCTGTAATCTGTTCCCCCAAGACCACTCTCTGCTGATATTGAATAACTAGTCCAATCAATTCAATTGTTCTGGTGGCATATACATGTATGTATGTATGTATGTATGTATGTGTATATATATACATATATATATGTATATATATTTTTTTTGAGATGGAGTCTCGCTCTGTCACTCAGGCTGGAGCGCAGTGGCGCGATCTCAGCTCACTGCAAGCTCCGCCTCCCGTGTTCACGCCATTCTCCTGCCTCAGCCTCCCGAGTAGCTGGGACTACAGGCACCCGCCACCACGCCTGGCTAATTGTTTTTTGTATTTTTAATAGAGACAGGGTTTCACCATGTTAGCCAGGATGGTCTCCATCTCCTGACCTTGTGATCTGCCCACCTTGGCCTCCCAAAGTGCTGGGATTACAGGCGTGAGCCACTGGGCACAGCCTGTTGTTTTCTTTAGAGACAGGGTCTCACTTTGTTCCCCAGGCTGGAGTGCAGTGGCGTGATCACAGCTCATGATAACTTTGAAGTCCTGGGCTCAAGCGAAAGCAATCCTCCTGCCTCAGCCTCCTGAGTAGCAAGGACTACAGGCACACACCACCATGCCCGGCTAAATTTTTAATTTTTTTTTGTAAAGACAAGGTCTTCCTATTTTGCTCAAGCTGGTCTGAAACTCCTGGCCTCAAGTGATCCTCCTACCTTTGCCTCCCAAAGGGCTGGGATTACAGGCCTGAACAACAGAGCTCAGCCAGCCTATAGATTCTTTAAGAGAAAATACTGTAATCTGAGAGAAGAATTTTAATTGGGGTTGGGGGGGGCAATCCTTTGACCATTAATAGAAACATATAGGGTTAAGTTTTTGAAACTCATCTCATGAATCCACAAATTTAGCCTCATTTCCATCTTTTCCATAGCCCCATCACATGCTATAGATATTCCTTTAGCCCTTTGCAGAGCAGCCTCACATATAGATAGGCCAATTTTCTCTCCCTTTTGTTAGATGTACCATCTTGTTGATTCATTAGCATTGAACTCATGGCCAACACCACCATAATTCTGAGTGAGGTTTATCTAACACATGTATTCTCTCTCTAAGGCACATCACAGCCTCTTTGTACTGAGAAACAATAGAGAGCTCATCAAGGCTCTGCTTGGGGGCCATACTAAACAGCAGAATCAATCAAAAAAGCATAAAAATGTGAAAACTTGACACTAAATAAACCTTGAAAAGGATACTCACAGTATGAGAGCCGAAGCAAGAAGGCAGACTGTGGCCTTGTTCAATTTCACCTAGGAATGTACATATCAGGCAACTTACATTTTTTGCTGCTCTGGACATGACTGCAAATGACCACAAAATCTTGTAAGCATTGATTTAAGGATTATAAATAACCACTATTGAGTAGGCAAATTCCCAAATATGCAATCAGGAAATAATGAGGATTGACTGTATTAGCCTCATCTTATGAAGAAACAGAAGTAGACAGAATAATTTGCTTAAGGTAACATAGCTAGGAAAAAAAGTAGAAGTCAATCACCAAGCCTCTGTGAATGCATCCTATATATAAGCTATAATGCCACAGTGCTTTCCAGGCTCACACCTGTAATCCCAGCACTTTGGGAGGCCGAGGCAGGTGGATCACAAGGTCAGGAGTTTGAGACCAGACTGGCCAACACAGTGAAACCCCATCTCCACTAACAATACAAAAAGAAAAAAAAAATTAGCCAGGCATGGTGGTGCGCGCCTGTAGTCCCAGCTACTCGGGAGGCTGAGGCAGTAGAATCACTTGAACCCAGGAGGTGGAAGTTGCAGTGAGCCAAGATAGCACCACTGCACTCCAGCTTGGGCAACAGAATGAGACTTCATCTCAAAAAAAAAAAAAAGACAACTTTCATCATCATCAACACTGTCCTACTGAATGACATATTCTGTCTGGTCCTGCTGAAAAGTCAAACAAGCATTGGAAGCCACCAAGCTTTATATATCTCAGGAAACTGATCTCTCTTAGAGACATATTCTAGGCCCTTCCTTCTCCGCTTTATGGGACAGAAAAAACCTGCCTTCTGGTCAATCTAAAATCCTTGTATAAATTCAGAAATGGTATTGCAATAGATTAAGTGCTTTGCAGTCACGGCCTTGATTTTTAAATCAGCTCCCCTGTATACTGGTTGTGACCCTAATGCTTTCAGTATCCTCTGCAAAACCGGGATTGCAATGCTGATTTCATATGATTATCCTGAGGATTAAATGATAATAAGCAGAAGGAGTCAAATTCAGAATAAGCACCTGGAAATTAACATGCCTTACTCTTGAGAATTTGTTCCTCGGGGGCCTCCCAGAACCTATTCAGCAAAGGGACTTTTCACTGCTCTTGGTTTCTGCACACAGGCGCTGCAAAAGCAAAAGCAAAACAACTGGCACTTCTATCATCCTATGATAATAACAGGCACATTGCCCTGTAAAACTCCACAACTCAGCTCCAGCTACACTCCCCTCTTTGTCAAGGGCAGTGTATATGCAAGATACATATATAGTAGCTCCAGGGTGGAGGTTCCAATATTCCATAGTCAGACACAGCTTGAAAACAAACGCAAACCCGCTTAGAATTAAAGCTCTAAGTCTGCCATGAACAGTTGCTTCTCAACTTCAACCTCTTTAAAAAGCACTTGTGTTTTGATTTTCAATTCTGGTTCACAAATCACTCCATCTGGTCTGGCCAATCACGATGCACGAGAAGCACTGAATTTAGTGTATCTTATTTATATATATATGTAATCCCAGAGGATGTGTTAATGTAAAAATGAAACAAGTTTGAAATGATGCAGGGGAAAAGATGGAAAGATTTCATGAATACTTCTCTAAGCCCAGAGGGTTAGCTTAAGATGGGAAACCTAAGTGCCTTCAAAGAAAGATCACAATACCTTAAGGTAGTGCCAAAGAAATTGTTACTCATGGTAGGCAAGGTTAAAAGTAAGGATGATGTGCTATTTAAAATATGAACCAGGTGTGGTAGGTCATGCCTGTAATCCCAGCACTTTGGGAGGCTGAGGCAGGTGGATCACTTGAGGTCAGGAGTTGGAGATCAGCATACCCAACATGGCAAAACCCCATCTCTACTAAAAATACAAAAATTTTCTGGGCATGGCGGTGCATGCCTGTAATCCCAGCTACTCAGGAGGCTGATGCAGAATTGCTTGAACCCAGGAGTCAGAGGTTGCTGTGAGCCGAGAATGCACCACTCCAGAATGGGCAACAGAGCAATACCCTGTCTCAAAAATAAATCAGTAAAAATATGAACTAAGCAAGAAGAGATACCTATGTCATTGACACATCTTCCTCATAGTGGAAGGATCATGAGAAGTAAGATTTGAATCTGAATCTTCAGTCCTTTATATACTGTGTGACCTGGGCAATTCACCCAAGGTTTTACCTATTAAAAAAAAAATGGCAGGCAGCCAGGCACAGTGGCTCATGCCTGTAATCCCAGCAGTTTGGGAGGCCCAGGTAGGAGGATTGCTTGAGACCAGGAGTTCAAGACCAGCCTGGGCAATATAGCAAGACCCCATTTCTACAAAAATAAAAAAATAAAAAAATAAAAAAATTAGCCAGGTGTGGTGACAAACGCCTGTAGCCCCAGCTGATTGGGAGGCTGAGGCTGGAGGATTGCTTGAGCCCAGGAGTTTGAGGATGCAGTGAGTCATGATTGCACCACCATACTCTGGGTGATGATGACAGAATGAGACCGTGTCTTGGAAAAAACAAACAAACAAACAAAAAACAGGAATAATATCAGCCTCATAGCATTGTTGTCAGGATTAAAATTAGAAAATATTTGTGCTATAAGATATGTCTCAATAAAACTCCATCTGTTCTTTCTAAAAGGAAGGATTGTTGATTGCCAATATATCGTTGAGATGAATTTCTTCATCAAAGCATTTTAATCATTTATTCAACTTTTACTGACCATCTTCCATGTGTTAGGCACTGTGCTAAACACTGTAAGTCAGAAATCCTCACTCTTCTTGTGTGTGTGTGTGTGTGTGTTAGGGCTGGGGGGTTGGTGGTAGAGAAGGAACATGACAATATTTATGGATGTCTCTTCAGAGCTATAGATCTTTTACTTTTTGGTGCCATGAACTTGATGTGTCAGCAAGGGCTCTACCCTTACAATGATCCCCAAAGGGAATCAAATACAACTTCTCCCATAAAACCTTCCCTCAATATTTCAAGCAGAAGCAATCACTTCTGTACGCTTATTACGCCTCTTATTTACTCATTTTACAAAAATTTGTCCAGGCACAGTGGCTCACGGCTGCAATCTCAGCACTTTGGGAGGCCCTGGCAGAAGGATCACTTGAAACCAGGAGTTCAAGACTGGCCCAGGCAACATAGTAAGACCCTGTCTCTATAACAATCAATCAATCAAAATAAGAATGTATTCACTTTTTCATTTTATAAGGTTATTGGACTCCTACTAAAGATGTTACATGAAATAGATACAGAGAGAAAACCAGAAACCTAATTTTCCTCCCTTCCCTCCAGAAATGTCTCCATTGAGGAGGGAAATTAAGATACACACACAAATGTTTTAATTCCTTACAAGTGGTAAAGATACAAAAGGGGAAAACATCACTTCTCAGCATGATCAAAGGCAGCCTTGTGGAGGATGGACTTTATAGGATGAATGGGATTTCCATAAATAAACACAGTAAGATACAGAAAACACATCTTTTGGTCTCAGCAGACGCTTATCAGGCGCTGCCTTGCTCTCTATTCATGTCCACATCTCATCTCCCCATCTGGCTTCTTACCTCCTTGACAGCCCCGGAGACTGTGCATCACTTTTTTCTACTGCTCCCACATCACATGACATTATGTACATGTATCAGAAAAAGGTGGCTTTTCTGTCCAGATTGGATATAATCAGTGGTCCTCAGTAGTTTGCGAAGTGTTCAGTTCATCTCCTCCACCCTGAAACTCTTTCTTCTCTGTGTGCATTTCAGGCAGGATGAGACTAACTCAAAGAACACCCAAAAGGTGAAAATCTGTTCTGCTTTTCAAGACCCAGGGAAGAGAACCCCACAACACTCTGAAAGCTGAGAGCGCCTACATTTTCATCATGCAGCTGCCCCCAAATCTTAAAGATCTTAATAACCAATCAGGACATGTCTGTGAGCCAGTAACAGAATATGTCCACATGATAGATATTACATGTATGCTTCTTTGCTCATCTTTGACATTTTTTGTGGCCTCTTCCTTCTCTTGAGTTCAACAGAGTGCTACCCAGGGATCTTGTCTGTCCCTGAACAGGAGATAGAGTTGTGGACTTTGACACAGGCAACACAACTTACCTTCCTAGTTAGGATTTGCTTAGAGGGTCAGATCCAATCTGAGGGCTGTTTTCATTTCTAAGGCATTATCAAGATGTGAAGTTACTACAGCACTGAATTAGCATATGCTGTTGCAATTTTTTTGGCACCAATGCAGTTTTTTATGTCGCTAGAAAACGTTATTACTATGGTTTTTGGAAGGGAAAAATAAATGGTTGGAGAAATAGGTCTGATATCATTTAAAAAAAATATGTGTGTTCTAAACTCCCAGGGACTATCTCACTGCAGAAGATATGGCTCTGAATTTCCTTGCATTTTGAACAAGGGCCACAGCTCACCGTGTATCCGCAGACGTAATGTAATGTCACCCAATTCACATGTATATGTTAGCTTTGAAAAGCGTTTTGCACTGCTTCTTGGGATGCTCTAGGATTGTTCTGTCTTATTATTTTCTCACTTTCACATTGCTTTTTGGCTCCTATTGTGGAGACTGGAGGTGAAAGCCGATTCGTAAGCCTTGGGAAAATCTTTTATTATGGAATACAATTCCTATTTCAAACACATGTTCTTGTTTTAAGCAAAGATAATATCTGTGAAAGCAAAAGGTATATCTGTAAAAGAAAAAAAAAGATAATGATATCATTGTATAAATAGAGACCAAGTTTCTAACAAAGTCAATGCAGTTCAGTAGGGAAACTGTACAGGAAAGACTCAAAGGTCAATGTGACTGTTATTATTATTATCATCATTATTATTTTATCTGAGACAGGGTCTCACTATGTTGCCCAGGCTGGTCTCAAACTCCTAAGCTCAAGCAATCTGCCCACCTTGGCCTCCCAAAGTGCTAGGATTACAGGTGTGAGCCACTGCGTCTGGCCAATGTGAGCATTATTTTTGATCCCATAACTACGGCCATAACTCTTAATTTAAATGTGTTGCAGGCAGTGTTGGAAAGACATTGGTTCACATTGGTCATGAGTATTGAATCTTTTCCACCATAATCATAAGTTCATAAGAGAAATTCTAGCCTTCTTTCCAAGTACTAGAACTTAAAATGTATTTCCTTTGTCTATTAAATAAAATAATCACTATCTGTTGGAGTTAGAAGGAAATTCAGGGCCGGGCACAGTGACTCACACCTGTAATCCTAGCACTTTGGGAGGCCAAGGTGGGCAGATCACCTGAGGTCAGGAGTTCAAGACCAGCCTGGCCAACATGGTGAAACCCTATCTCTACTAAAACTACAAAAATTAGTGGGTGTGGTGGTGTGCACCTGTAATCTTAGCAACTTGTGAGGCTGAAGCAGGAGGATCACTTGAAACCGGGAGGTGGAGGTTGCAGTGAGCCAAGACCACACCACTGCACTCTAGCCTGGGTAACAGAGAAAGACTGTCAAAAAAAAAAAAAAAAAAAAAAAAAAGGAAAGAAAGGAAGACAGGAAGACAGTCAGAAAGACAGAAAGAAATTTCAGTTGGCCTGGGACAAATCTTGTTTTCTCAAGTTCTCATGGCTGGTTGTTGGTAGAGCAGCTCTCAAAATGTATGCCCTCCACTTTAAAGTTCCTGAATTCCTAGCTAATACTCTTCACCCTGCCTCTGTGTTTGCATAGGAACAGAAGCATAATGTTCAGTTTTACAGAGTTGCATCCCCTTCAGCATTGTCGAGGTCTGTCTGATAGGCAGAATAATGGCCCCTCTCCAAAGACATCAAGGTCTTAGTGTCCAGAACCTATAAATACGCTACGTTACATGGTAAGGGGAAATGAATGTTGCAGGTAGAATTAAGGCTGAACTTGAACTGGAGAGATTATTCTGAATTGTCCAAGTGAGCCCAGTGTCATCAGAAGGGTCCTTAATATGGTTTGGCTCTGTGTCCCCATCCAAATCTCATTTTGAATTGTAGCTCCTATAATTCCCATGCATTGTGGGAGGGACCCAGTGGGAGATAATTGAATCATACTGGCCTCGTGGTAGTGAATAAGTCTTACGAGATCTGACGGTTTTATAAGGTGTTTTCACTTTTGCTTCTCTCTCATTCTCTCTCTTGCCTGTCACCATGTAAGATGTGTCTTTTGCCTTCTGCCATGATTGTGAGGCCTTTCCAGCCAGGTGGAACTGGGAGTCTATTAAACCTCTTTTTCTTTATAATTTACCCCATCTCAGGTAGGTCTTTATCAGCAGTGTGAAAATGGACTAATACAGTCCTTATAAGTGAAAGAGGGAGGCAGGAGAGGTGGATTCAAAGTGATGCTATGTGAGAAAGACTCAGCCAGGTATTGCTGGCTTTGAAGACAAAAGGGAGACATGAACCAAGAATGTGGCAGCCTCTAGAAGCTGGAAAAGGCAAGCAAATTGTTCTCCTCCAGCCTCACCCCTGCAAAGGAAGCATCCATGCTGGCATGTTAATTTTAGCCCAGTGAGACCCATTTTTTTCTTTCTTTTTTAAAGACGGGGGTCTCACTGTTCACCCATGCTGGAGTGCCATGGCACAATTATAGCTCACTGCAGCCTCAAACTCCTAGGCTCAAGCAATCGTACCTCAGTCTCCCGAGTAGCTGGGACACCAGGTGCACATCGCCACACTCAGCTAATTTATTTATTTTTATTTTTTTGTAGAGATGGGCATCTCACTATGTTGCCCAAGCTGGTCTCAAACTCCTGGGGCCTCAAGTAATCCTCTTACCTTGGCCTCCCAAAGTATCAGGATTACAGGCATGAGTCAATGCACCTGACCGCCACTTTTGATTTCCATAAATGTAAGATAATAAATTTGTGTTGTTTTAATCCACCAAGTGTTTGGTAATTTATTACAGCAACAATAGGAAACTAATACACTATTCAAGTGTGCATTCAGTTCAGTTTCTTCTTTGGCATATAGAAAGGCACTAAATATGCTTTCTCCAACAAGGCACAGAAAAGAAAAACCACCATTGGTTATTTCCATCAGAAGATACTCTGCAGAGCTCAACAAAACCAGTCCTTGGGACATAAAACCAATTTATCTCCATCACTCAGTATCTCTGCACCCACCCTAAATGGCACAGCACCCCAACAGAAGGTGCAAACCACCCTGCATCAGTCAGGGGCCTAGCAGGGAACAGATGCCTCATTCACAGAGGGAATTTGGAGAGATATGTTAAAGTGGCTATGTGCAGCATGGTAGCCAATGTTAAGGGTACCCAAGAAGGGATGATGAATCACCCAGGGATGAGCAACAGAGGGAAACTGGGCCTAGGACTAAAGAGATAGGGGTGGGAGCAAGTGCTAGAACTCAGTGAGACCTCACGCTGTGGGACAGGGCTGCCTGACAAGAGCCATAGCCTTGGTAGAAGAATAGGGCCCCTGCCTATCTTAGACTATGGAGAGAGGGAACCAGGAGAATAAACACCCTGACTTTTCTCTCCTCCTACACTTGACTTTCCTGCCAGTGCTTCCCATTGGCTGAAATCTAACAGAAATCAGGAGACAAAAAAGAGTGGCTGATGTCCTCTACATCTACAAAGGCCAGCCTCCCAGGGAAGACTAGCAAGGTGGAGAAAGGAGAATTCTGAATCTAGATGACCAAACAGAATGCTGGCTGGACGCAGTACTGGTCAGACCCAGCGGGACATTTCTTATGGCAGTACGATTTATAGGATTGTGATATTTTTTGACCGAGAAACATTAGAAAATTTACTAAAGAAGTTTTTTTACTTGGCCTTCTGATGCTGCAATAAGAAAGACAGGTTTCTATGGACTTACCCCTCTTACATTTACAGGAATTAAAAGACAGATGATGAAATAGTCTAAGAATCAAGAGTAAGTCCAAAGTAGAGCCAATAAAAGCTTAACTCACTCAATGGCTTATTAGTCTACTCTCATGCTGCTGATACAGACATTCCCAAGACTGGGTAATTTATAAAGAAAAAGAGGTTTAGGCCAGGTGTGGTGGCTCATGCCTGTAATCCCAGCACTTTGGGAGGCTGAGGTGGGCGAATTATGAGGTCAGAAGTTCAAGACCAGCCTGGCCAACATGGTGAAACCCTGTCTCTACTAAAAATACAAAAAAAAAAATGGCTGGGCATGGTGGCGGGTGCCTGTAATCCCAGCTACTCGGGAGGCTGAGGCAGGAGAATCGCTTGAAACAGGGAGGCGGAGGTTGCAGTGAGCTGAGATCATGCCACTGCACTCCAGCCCAGGCCATAGCGTGAGACTCTGTCAAAAAAAAGAAAGAAAGAAAGAAAGTAAAAGAAAGAAAGAAAGAAAGAAAGAAAGAAAGAAAGAAAGAAAGAAAGAAAGAAAGAAAGAGGAAAGGAAAGGAAAGGAAAGGAAAAGAAAAAGAAAAGAAAAGAAGTTCAATGGACTTACATCCATATGGCTAGAGAGGCCTCACAATCATGGCAGAAGGCAAAAGGCACATCTTACATGGCGGCAGGGAAGAGAGAAAGCTTGTGCAGGGAAACTCCCCTTTATAAAACCATCAGATCTCATAAGACTATTCACTATCACGAGAAGAGTGTGAGAAAGACCAGCCCCAGTGATTCAGTTACCTCCCACCTGGTCCCTCCCATGACATGTGAGAATTGCAGGAGCTACAATTCAAGCTGAGATTTGGGTGGGGACACAGCCAAATCATATCACTTGGATTCTCAAACTGACTAGGAAACAGTTGTCCTTCCTAAAACTTTAATTAAAGAACTCTTCAGTCAAAAGTCTCATTGCTCTAAAGAGACCCCATAACCTATGGCCACCATTTCTGCACTCATGTCCACCCTAATATATTTTATACCACAGTATAGAGAATCAGATAGACCAAACTTGGAATCAGCTCAGACTTCCACTTCAACTGAACATGGGTAATTCCTTCAGCATCACTGACCTGGACAAAGAGAAGTTGAAGGGATGTATACGTGGAATCAGTTCACACAACATCTTCATGCTGAAACATGAACCCTGATATGTAGTCCTTTTCTTTTCAGCACTTGGATGGAGGCAGGAAGCTCAACTGCCTTCAATGCCCCCACCCATCCCTCCTAAGCATTAATAGAGAACAGAGAGAAGCAGCATGATGATCAGCATGAGGCCTGAAGTCTCTTGGAGATTCTAGCCAGCTGGTGGCCCTAGGGATGAAAGAATCCATATTCTCAGGATGTGTGAACAGCCCACTTATGGGTTTTAACCAGTGAAAATCAATAACAGGCTTAGAGACCTTGCAAATTACCCTCCAGTTCTCTAGCAGTTACTCATGCTCTGGGGATCAGGAGGATATAGCATGAGGTGCATTTATACATAGTTACAAAGAACTCAGCTCTGTTGGTAAAATTGTATGGTGTTAACTGAAGACAGAAGTTTGTTCCATATCCCAGGAGCCAAGTTTACCCTTACCCAATTCCCTAATTAACGTTAGTTTCCACATTGGCTATATTATCTCCATATACCCTTTCCATGTAGAAGAACTTCACTGTCATATAGATGCCTCTTTGAACGTTACTAAAGTTTCTTTAAACCTTGACTTGACAGCAATTCCACAAGGTATTAAATAACATCCAATACTTTGTGGAATGCCTCCATTCCCTATTGTCAAAATATTTGGAGAAGGTACTCACCGTCCAAGTACATAATGGAGTAAATGAGTCAGGAAAGAACGTTTTTGGTAATTAACACATAAGGTGATATTAACATTAATATGTTCTGAAGGCGTCTGGACCTCCGTTTTCTCCCACACACATTGGCGTAATTTCAGATAGAATAACTTTTGACATTTAATCTACTTAGCAAAAAAAAGTTCTTTGTAGTTATCAGTGCTATTAACTTATTTGTTTATTTTTGAGATAGAGTCTCACTCAATCTTCCAGGCTGGAGTGCAGTGGCACCGATCTCGGTTCACCACAACCTCTGCCTCCCAGGTTCAAGTGATTCTCCTGCCTTAGCCTCCCAAGTAGCTGGGATTACAGGCACCCATCACACCCGGCTAATTTTTTGGGTTTTCAGTAGAGACAGGGTTTCACCATGTTGGCCAGGCTGGTCTCAAACTCCTGACCTCAGGTGATCCACCCAGCTTGGCCTCTCAAAGTGCTGAGATTATAGGCTTGAGCCACTGCCTCCAGCCAATTCGCTTATATTTATAGTTATGTTTATCCTGGGTACATGGCCAGCTACCTGCCCACTTTAAAGTTAAATTTTTAAAAAATCTGACTTACTGTAGCCAGTGAAGGTGAGTGGCTCTAATGTACACCAATTCTTGGGAAACACCTATAAGATATATACATGGTCTGCCCTGTTCTTTTCCCCTGGCATAGGTAGCAGGGATACCCCTGTAGCTGGGGTGAAGGTCCCCAAGCCTGAGTCTCAGAGTGAGGACAACAGGAAGCAGAGACCCTGCTGCTCTGAGATGAACAACTAGTATCACCAAGAACCCGATCTGTTCTCAGCCTACACTTTCTGTGGAAATGGACGAAACTCATCAGAATCACACACACACAAAATACCTGTGTGGCCCTAAGGTCCAAACCCCTTTCATAACAGTGTGTATTTCACAGTCCACGTGGGTGCTTAAGGTGCTTGAGATTACTGGAGTCATTACCATATTACAGCCACACCTCTCCTGATTGACAAAAGACAACTTTAAACTTGCCACAGTTTCTCTCACAATGAGTCAATTGACAATGAAATGGAGACAGTGTATTTTAATGAAGAAAACATGAGTTTTGTAATCAGCTTGATTTGGTTGAAATCAAAAGAGTTTACCAGCCAGGAGCAGTTGCTCATGCCTGTAATCCCAGCACAGGAGGCTGAGGTGGTAGGATTAGTTGAGCCCAGGAGTTTGAGATCAGCCTGAGCAATGTAGGGAGACTCTGTCTCTACAAAACATAAAAATAAATTAGCCAATTGTGGTGGCATACACCTGTGGTCCCAGTTACTCAGGAGGCTGAAGCAGGAGGATTGCTTGAGCCAAGGAGGTAAGGCTGCAGTGAGCTGTGATTACTCCACTGCACACCAGCCTGGATGACAGAGCAAAATCCTGTCTCAAAAAAGAAAAATAAAATAAAAAGGGAGTTTATCACTTACTGTTTATGTGATCTTATCAAGCCACATAGATATTTTGAACTTTACTTTCTCCAACTATCAAATGGAATAATACTATACATCTTACCGAGTGCAGCAAAAAATCAATGACATAATGTTAAGTATCAAGCTCAGTGTATGTAGTAACCATTACTGTCTATCCTTTTCTCCCACACTCAGACCCCTTCTGGTAATGAAATACTGGAAGAACTGACTAGATCAGGAATGGACAAACTATAGCACACAGGCCAAATCTGGCCCACTACCTGGTTTTGTAGATAAAGTTTTATTAGAATGCAGCTATACTCATTTATTTATACATTGGCTATGACATTTTGTACACTACAAATTCAGAATTAGAGTAGATGCAACAGAGACTGTATAGCCTACAAAGCCTAAAATATTTACTCTCTGAACCTTCACAGAAAAAAAAAAATTGCTGACCCCTTGACTAGATTCATTCATAACCTGGACAATTCAGTTTCTCATATGAATCAACTCAGAGCGTCTTTGTCCTGAACAAGTCAATACTGTGAAGTGTACTAGTTGTAGATGATATTTCCCCTCCAAAGAGCTCATTGGAAACTTGCTCACTGCCTGGGTGAGACTCTGCCCTAGATTTTACAGTCAACTGTAAAATGTACTAAAAGGCAGCCAAAAGATTGCTCTACATCTAGCTCCTTGAATATCACAAATTAGCACTTGTGTATTCACTTAATAATTCATTCAACAAACATCTGCTTAGATGCCAGTTATACACCAACAAACAGTGCTACGCAATGAAGATAGGGAGATAAACAAGGGGCAGGCTCCCACTCCAGAAGCTCTCCGACTAGCAGAGTGGCAAATATGTAAATAAATAAATGCAACCCAATACAGAGAGTTAGTAGCCAATAAGCTTACAGGCATATGAATAGGTTAAAAGTTTATACACATAAGCAAACTATAGCAAGAAGATGAAATGAAGTGATACCTGAGCAGAATAGATCAGATTTCTTGATACAAAGCATCCCAGCGTGAGAAGCTCTGCATGTGTAGAAGCAAAAATCAACCGCAGCACCAACAAAGCATCTAGCAGACTTACGTGTAGGTGGAGGCTGCATTTCCATCTTCAGATCGTACCTCGGTCAGTATCCTGCTGTGCTCCCCAGCTGTGACAGCTAGGCAACGTTTTGTGACATTTTTCTTGACCTTGGAGTTTGCTGCTCAACACCACCACAACTTATTCTTGGTTAGATCTGACATGGTTCTTGTCTCTGAAATCTGGACTCACCCAGAGGTGTTCCTGCTGCTGTGTGGCTCAGACACCCTCACCCCAAGCTTTGGACATTCTCCTGCCCCGCCCTGAGGCACTTGCCCTCCTTTTCACTTCTGACCCAGATGTACCAATAAACTAACTTTGTCCTGCTTCCCATTATCCCAATCCTAACTGGATTCTGTTGAGTGAAGTTTTACAGAAAAAGATTTTTCCAAGGAGCAAATACAGACAGTTATTTTGGTTATATAGAACAGAATGTTTGAAGTTGCAGAGGTCTGAAAAAACCAAGTGTGTTTAGTAAACCCAAAAAGTTTTATATGGATGGTATATAGACTAAACGGTAGAGAGTAGCAGAAGACAAAACTAAAAAACGGAAATGGGCCAGATTATGGAGGTGTCTTGGTCCATTTGCATTGCTCTAAAGGAATAACTGAGGCTAGGTTATTTATAAAGAGAAGAGATTTATTTGGCTCATGGTCCTGCAGGCTGTACAAGAAGCATGGCGCCAATATCTGCTTCTGATGAAAGCCTCAGGAAGCTTCCACTTAAGGATGGAAGGCCAAAGGGAGCTGGTGTATGCAAACGACACAGTGAAAGAGAAAGTGCCACAAAGAAGAGGAGGTCCTAGGCTCTTTTCAAATAGCAGCTTTTGCAGGAACTAAGTGAGAACTCACTCACTCCCACAAGAATGGCACGAAGCCATTTATGAGGAACCCATCCCCATGACCTAAACACGTCCCACTGGGCCCCACCACCAATACTGGAAATCAAATTTTAACATGAGACTTGATGGGGTCACATAAACCACATCAAACCATAGCAGAGGGCACTGGAAATCATCCAAAGGAAAATGTACTTCATTCTGTAGCTAGTAGAGAATCACAGAAGAATTTTAAAAGAACAGTCATGTGATGGTATTTACATCTTAAAATACTACTTTAGAGGTAATACGGTGTATGCTTGGAGGAGGAGTGCACAGCCTTGAGGAAGAAAAAACAGTTAGCTGGCCATTGTCATAGCTCAGGTAAAAAATGAGAGCCTGCCAGCCACAGGGATTGACATCTGTAATCCCAGAACTTTGGGAGGCTGACATGGGAAGATCACTTGAGCCCAGGAGTTTGAGACCAGCCTGGGTGACAAAGCAAGACCCTATCCCAAAAAAAAAAAAAAAAAAAAAAAAAAAAAATATATATATATATATATGGAGTCAGGCATGCTGGTGTGCACCTATAGTCCCAACTACTTGGGAGGCTGAGGTGGGAGGATCACTTCAGCCCAGAAATTCAAAGCTGCAGTGAGCAGTGATCACACCACTGCACTCCAGGCTGTGACAGAGTGAGACCCTGTTGGAAGGAAGGAAGGAAAAAGGAGAAGGGGAAAGGGAAGGGGAAGGGAGAAAGAAAGGCAGCCGGGTGGGAAGGAGGGAAGGAGGGAAAGAAAGGAAAGGAAAGGAAAAACAAAGGAAAAAGAAAGGAAGAAAGGAAGAGCCTAAACTTAAAGGAAAGAAGGAAGTGATCTGATATATATTTGGGAGGTATTTCAGGATGTATGCCTTCTTAGCGAGGGAAAAGAAATGGCCTAGAATAGGGCTTTTCAAATCATCTTGGTGGAGTCCCATTTTTAGAATTTCTAACCCATCGTGGACCAATACTTCCGTCAAGTAAAGGGAAAAATGATCATGTGCTTGGATATTGCTGAAATGTCAAGTTGCTTTAAAAGTTTCATTTATGTTCAATTTCCGTACTTAATCTTGTTATGGTAATCTGTGGTCAAGCATTCATTTCAGAGCACATTTTCAGTAGCGCTATTCTAGGAGGACTGCAGAGTTTCTGGCTTGATAACTAGAAGAACAGTGATGACTTTAGCCAAGTTAAGGAGCAAACAAGTGTATGTGGGGGTTGAAGATGAGTTCCACTGTGGATATGTTATTCTCAGTGTCCCAGAGGAATACAGACAGATGCATCCATAAAGCTGCTGGCAATTCAGCTTGTGTGCATTTCATTTGTAGAGGATTCTTCACATGGGGTAGGTATTTGGTGCTTCTTAAATGCATAAATGGAAACGAATTTCCCACTTGATTGTCTGCCAGCTACGTATACTATGCCTGTTAGAACAAGCAATGGCAGAACATAGGGATACATAAAATATCCTCTCGGTGTTGAGAAATTTTACCACAATCAGAAAATCTTAATAAGACTTTTAAAACAGTGCATGACATGAAAACTTGACTTTTGCCCATACACACAAAAATGATAAAAGGAAGTCATCTTTTCTCTCTACTCCACTATTCATCTTGCATTTATTCATACTTCATGTGTCTGCTATGACATGAGTTCACTGGCTTCAAGTTTACTGAGAAATCACAGAGACTGGCCAAGCTATTTTCGTATGAAGCAAAAATCTCAGTCCTTACAACTCAAGTACAAAAACCATGTAACATTTTCTATGTGTCATAGTAACTTTTTCTTGTTATCTCTATTCTACGTTGATATTGTCTGGATATTTGCCTCCTCCAAATCTCATGCCGAAATCTGATCCCCAGTGTTAAAGGTGGAGCCTAACGGAAGGCGTCTGGGTCATGGCTGTGGATCCCTCATGAATGGCTTGGTGTGTCCTCATGGTAATAAGTGAGTTCTTGCTGTATTAGCTCCTGCAAGATTTAACTGTTAAAAAGAGCCTGGCCCCTCTTCTCTCCCTCACCATGTGACATGCCAACTTCTCTTTGCTTCCACCATGAACAGAAGTACCTTAAAGCTTTCACCAGAAGCAGATATGGGTTCCATGCTTTTTGCACAGCCTGCAGAACTGTGAGTCAAATAAACCTCTTTTCTGTATGAATTACCCAGTCTCAGGTATTCCTTAACATCAGTGCAAATGGACTAAGACACATCAGAAGAAGAAATATTAATCAGCCTGTACCCAAAGCTACATCTTCATAACAGAGGGCTTACAGAGGGCTAACATGCTGTGAGTGGTCTGGTTGCTGGTAAACAAATGTCCACCCTGCCCTCCACTCAGTTTCCCCAATCACTCTCATTCCTTGGGTCCTAATCACCCATCCATATTGTTCACTGCCATGATGCCCCATTCTCACCCCTCAATCTCTCAGGTTGAGCTCTTTCTTGACCAGTTCTGAGCCCTCTTTCACGCCTCTCCAAGGACAGGAAACTCTACAAAGCTAAGACCTTCCACTATTATAATGCTACTTTTTAGTGCTTGAACAATCAATGTAGGGCTTCCTGCACCTTTCTATAAAACAATTCTTTCAACGATCTATAGCAGCAAATATCTCCCAAGAACCTACTGTGTTCCAGGCACTGTTCTAGACTCTTGGAAACTACAGTGAACAAAACAGAGAAAAATCTCTGACCTCAAGAACATGCATTCTCGGATGAGGAAATCAACAGCAAATAACAGGCAAAACGATAAGTAAGAAATTATGTAGTATATAAGAAATTGGGAAGTGCTGTGGAATAAAGTAGAGCGGGATGAAGAGGACTTAGGAATTCAGGGTTGGGTGGCTCCTTGAAATTCTAAATAGACTTGTCAAGATGGAGTCCATCGGGAGGGTGATATCAGAGCAAAGACTTGGAAGAGGTGAAGAACAGTCAGGTTAGTAGTTGGAGGAAGGGCGTTCCAGGCAGAAGGAATGACAGGTGCAAAGGCCCGAAGGCAAGAGTAGCCGTGTCCAAAGAACAACAGGAAGGCCAACATGGCAGAGTGGAGTGAGCAAGGGTGATAAAATCAAGGGATCCATTCAGGAAGGCAACCGAGAGGGGAAGACTGGCTTGGGTTTTTACTGTGAGAGAAATGGACAATTACCGAAGAAGTGACATATTTTGATGTATTGATCATTTATTTATTTATGATTTATTTGAGTCAGGGTCTCACTCTATAGCCCAGGCTGGAGTGCAGTGGCACATTCATAGCTCACTACATCCTTGACCTCCTGGGCTCAAGTGAACCTCCCACCTCAGCCTCTTGAATAGCTGGAACTATAGGTGTGTGCCACCATGTCCAGCTAGTATTTTAAAAAACTTTTTGTAGAGATGGGGTGTTGCTATGTTGCCCAGGCTGGCCTCGAACTCCTGGCCTCTAGGAATCCTCCTGCCTGAGTCTCCCAAATAGCTTGGATTACAAGAGGAAGTCACTGTGCCTAGCCCAATTTGACAGATTTTAAAAGGACTGCTCTAGTCATGATGTTAAGACCACACTAAGGAAAGAGGGTTGAAGAAAGGAAACCAGTTAGAAGCTATTTCAGTAGCAGTGGAGGTAGGGAAAAGTGTTTAGATTCCGGGTATATTTGAAGTAGAGCCATCAGAATTTCTTACAGGATTGGAGAAAGATGAGTTGAAGATACCAAGGTTTTGTCCTGGACACTGGAGGGAATGGAGTTACCGTCAGCTTGACAGGGCCAACTGTAGACAAAGAGATCTGTTGAGAATGATTAGGTGCTACTGATTTTTTGTTCCTAGGCCATGGTTCCATACATGGCTGTCTCCAGTGCTAAGCACAGTGACTACCACTTAGTAGGCAGAAAATATCTCTAAAGAGGCCAAGGCAGGAGGATCGCTTGAACCTAGAGTTCAAGACCAGCCTGGGCAATATAGCAATACCCTGCCCCTACAAAAGAATTTTTTAAAAAGTGGCCAGGCATGGTGGCACATGCCTGTAGTCCTAGCTACTTGGGAGACTGAGGTGGGAGGATTGTTTGAGCCCAGAAGTTTGAGGTTGCAGTGAGCTATGATCACACTATTGCACTCTATCCTGGGTGACAGAGCTGGAGTACAGACACCCTTTCTCAATCAATCCATCAATCAATGAAAAAGAAAATACCTGTTGAACAGACAAATCAGTGTGTGAATGATTAAATACAATCCCCACAGGGCAAGCAACCTGAGATTTTGCTGCTTTCTTGGGTTCTATCCAGGGAGCACAGGGCAAAATTTCTCTGTTTTCACATTTCCCAAAATTACCAGAATTTTTTTTTATCTGATTTCATCCCCAGTCCAGGGTTTTTCAGTCTGGCATGGAGATAAAGTAATGATCCCGTTCTCAAAGACACATCGTTCAACTCTCCTGTTCCTCCTCAACTATTGATATCATCTTCCATCCCTCAATCCAAGAAATCTTTGTCTATTTCCAGGAATAAGAAAAATTGCCTAGCTGTATATTCTTCTAAATTAAGAAATTTTATTCCTGGGGTTTCAGCTTTTCAAACTCCAAAGTTAAGACTTGTACTCCTGCACTCTTAGTTGATACCAACTTTTCCAAATATTACGGGATAATACTGGGACGTATGAATTGGCAGCATACCACTGACCGAATGAGGATAAAGGCAAGAAATGCAAGGGAACAACAACAATGTAAAACACACCAGGTGGCCGGGTGCGGTGGCTCACACCTTGTAATCCCAGCATTTCCAGAGGCCAAGGCAGGAAGATCACTTGAGCACAGAAGTTCAAGATCAGCTCGGGCAATGTAGGGAGACCCCATTTCTACAAAACATAAAAATATATTAGCCAAGTGTGGTAGCACATTACCTGTGGTCCCAACTACTCAGGATACTGAGGTGGGAAGATCACTTGAGCCCAGAAGGTTGAGGCTGCACTGAGCTGTGATCATGCCATTGCACTCTAGCCTGGGCAACAGAGTGAGACCCCATCTCAAAAAATAGTGTAATAAAACGCACCAGTTAATACATCAAAACATTATGCCACTTCTTTTTTGATCACTTAGGATGAAATGGATATGCCCCTATAATAGGCTATGTCTGCACAATCATCTTATAATTGTTATCAGCCTGCCCATTGATCCAGAGTAAATTAGTCTGATGATATTTAAGTAAAACAGATTCTGTCCATAAAATTATGCAAAATGTAACAATGTTGACGCTGGTCATACTGTGCAAGCTAATAATTAGACATTGTCTATGTCATTTTCTGAACTTTCAGAGAGAACATTAAACAGTCAGACACTTGTTAATGGTAGAACATTTCCAGGGAAAATGGCTGGCAGGAGAATTGAGGAGCAAGGATCAACAGAACACAGTGATGAGAAGGAAACATGAAAGGAGTTTTTCGGGAAACAGCAAAGAAATGGATCCTTCAACCACGGGAACAGAGAGTTTTCTGTCTTTAAATTCTGCCAGTGTTTATATTCTAATTAATTTTTTATAGGTTAATCTCCATCTATTGTTTTTGAAGATACCAACCCCCTGTTAGCTCATTAAAGAATAGATTGTTTAACTTATCAGAGACTTCCTAAAACCCTGGAAAATCCCCAAATTCATAAACCACATGTCATTTTCCCCATGCAATGCAGTTGCATATAGCTGAAAAATTATATGTAAATGATTTAACTCTCACTCAATGATCAGTTTCTGTCCTACCTGAGATGCTTACTCAATTTGTTTTATAAATTCTGCTTTTTAACATTCTCATAAAGAACATATGTCTGGCTTGATATCATAGATTCTAGTCACCCATAAATATAACATTTCACTCTAACCAAAAAGGTCTATTTTCCGGCTAAGAACTAGTACTTCTTTTTTAGTCTCCTTCCTTTACTTCATCAGCTCTTGAAGCTGTTGTCAGTTCAGGCAACATTTTCTGGCAGAATAAAAAAATTTCATGCACACACGAGGTCATAAATTGAACCCCAGCCCACTTCCAAATGCACACATCCTGGGTTGCACATTGGCTTTTGGCTACATTTGTCTCAAAGGGATTCAGTCCTGTTCACTAGCATTTAGGATTCAAATTAATCTCAGCAAAAATTGACCAGGTGCAGTGGCTCATGCCTGTCATCTCAGCACTTTGGGAGGCTGAGGCAGGTGGATCACGTGAGGTCAAGAGTTTGAGACCAGCCTGGCCAACATGGCAAAATCCCGTCTCTACTAAAAATATAAAAATTAGCCACACACGGTGGTAGACACCTGTAATCCCAGCAACTCAGGAGGCTGAGGCATGAGAATCGCTTGAACCCCAGAGGCAGAGGTTGCCATGTGCCAGGATTGCGCCACTGCACTCCATCCTGGGTGACACAGACTCCATCTCAAGAAAAAAAAAAAAACTTAGAAAAAATTGAAAAATATTTCATGTCATGAACTTCCAGATAACCTTTAAAGAGAGACAATCACAGACATTAAATTCATAAAGACAAAGGTTCTACTGTACTTTCTTCTGAAAACAGAGCAATTCATTTGAAGTGAGCTTACATGAAATCATAGCAGCACAGGCTAAATTTGAAGAACTTTCTCTCATTCAACAAATATTGAAAATAATATCATAGGTATTATAAATCATGAAGAGATGATTCTCCCATGGCCTCTACCCCCAGAGAGCATATTGTTTGCCCTCGAATTTAATTATTCATTCAACAAATGTTTTTTGAGCAACTGCTCTGTGTTAATCATTTTCATTGGTACTAGCCATAAAGCAGTGAACAAGATAAGAAATGCCCCTGTTCTACTGCCGGAAGACAGACAGCAAACAAATAAAATAGTAGGTAGTGGTAAGTCTTGCAAGAAAATTGTGGCAGGATATTGTCATCAAGAATGACCTAGGAGTACGATATAAGCTCTGAGCTTTTCATATGTGGCCTTTATATTGTTGAGGTAACATTTCTTCTAGATTTAATTTGTTGGCTGTTCTTACCATGAAAGGATGTTAAATTCTTTCCAATTTTATCATGAAAGAATGTTAAATTCGGCTGGGCACGGTGGCTCACGCCTGTAATCCCAGCACTTTGGGAGGCCGAGTCGGGTGGATCACGAGGTCAGGAGATCGAGACCACAGTGAAACCCCGTCTCTACTAAAAATACAAAAAAAATTAGCCGGGCACGGTGGTGGGCACCTGTAGTCCCAGCTACTCAGGAGGCTGACGTAGAATGGCGTGAACCCAGGAGGCAGAGCTTGCAGTGAGCCGAGATAGCGCCACTGCACTCCAGCCTGGGCGACACAGCAAGACCCCGTCTCAAAAAAAAGAAAAAAAAAAGTTACATTCTTTCCAATTTTTTCTGCATTTACTGAGATAATTATATGATTTTTATTCTTCATTCTGTTAATGTGGTGTATCACATTTATTGATTTGCATATATTGAACCATTCTTGCATCCCAGGGATAAATTCCAATTGATCATGACATATGATCTTGGTGATGTGCTGTTCAATTTGGTTTGCAGGTATATTGTTGAGGGTTTTTGCATGCGTGTTCATCAGGGATACTGGCCTTTAATTTTCTTGCAGTTTCCTTATCTGGTCTTGGTGTGGGGTGACCAACATACATGTAGACATGTACACCACCAGAAATGAAACCATGCATATATGAAAGCATTCCCTCCTGTTGAAGTTTCTGGAAGAGTCTGAGATAATTGGTATTAATTCTTTAGATGTTTGTAAGATTTTATTTATGAAGTTATCTGGTCCTGCACTTTTCTTCGTTGGGAAGTTTTCTGACTATTGATTCAATCTCCTTATTCATTATTGGTTTGTTTAGACTTTGTTTCTTTGTGATTTGGTTTTGCGGATTTCTAGAAATTTGTCCCTTCCTTCTTAGGTTTTTTTCTTTTTTTCTGAGTCAGGGTCTCACTCTGTTACCCAGGTTGGAGTGCAATGGCACTATCATAGCTCACTGCAGCCTCGAACTCCTGGGCTCAAATGATCCTCCTCCCTCAGCCTCTCAGGCAACAGACACATACCACCATGGCTGGCTAACCTTTTTATTATTATTTTTGTAGAGACAGTGTCTTGCTATGTTGTCCAGGCTGGTCTCAAACTCTTGGCCTCAAGTAAGCCTCCCACCTCAGGTCTCTAAAGTGCTGGGATTAGAGGCATCAGCCACCACTCCTGGGCCTGTTTCTTCTTGGTTATCCAATTTGTTGTCATTATTGTTTATCGTAGTCTCTCATGTATCTGTTTTTCTGTGGTATCAGTTGTAATGTCTCCTCTTTCATTCATAATTCATTTGATTCATCTTTTTTTCCTGGTTAGTCTAAATAAAGGTTTGTCAATTTTGTTGATTTTTTCAAAAAACTCTTAATTAATCTTTTATATTATCTTTCTAATCTCTATTTCATTTATTTCTGCTCTGATCTTCATTATTTCCTTCCTTCTGCCAACTTTGAGCTTAGTTTGCTCTTGCTGTTCTAGTCTCTTAAGATGTGAAATTGGATGTCCATACTACCTAAAGCAATCTACGGATTTAATGCAATCCCTATGAAAATTCCAATTGCATTTTTCATAGATACAGAAAACAATTCTAAAATTTGGAACCACAAAAGACACCAAATAGCCAAAGCAATTTTGAGAAGAACAAAACTGGAGGCATCACGTTCCCTGATTTCCAAGTATATTACGAAGCTTTAGTAATCAAAACAATATCATACTGATGTGAAAACAGACATATAGTCCAATGGAAGAGAATAAAAAGCACAGAAATAAACCCACGCATATATGGTCAACTAATTTTTGACAAGGGTGCCAAGAATACATAATAGTGAAAGAAAAGTCTCTTCAATAAATGGTGTTGGGACAGCTGGATATCCACGTGCAGAAGAATGAAATTAGACCTATATCTCACACCATAAACAAAAATTAACTCAAAATGCATAAAAGACTTAAGTGTAAGACCTGAAACTGTAAAAATAGTTGAAGAAAATACAGGGGAGAAGCTCCATGACATTAGTCTGGGCAATGAGTTTTTGGATGTGACTCCCAAAAGCACAAGTAACCAAATCAAAGTAGACCAGTGGGATTACATCAAACTGAAAAGCTTCTACACAGCAAAGGAAACAATCAACAAAGTGAAGAGACAACTAACTGAATGAGAGAAAATATTTGCAAGTGATACATCTAATAAGGAGCTAATATCCAAATTAAATAAGGAACTCAAAAACTCAGTAACAAGAAAATAAACGGGCCAAAGAACTGACCAGACATATCTCAAAAGAAGACATACAAATGGCCAACAAGTACAAGAAAAATGATCAATATTACTAAGCATCAGAGCAATGCAACTCAAAACCACAATGAAAATTACCTCACACCTGTTTGAACGGCTATGATCAAAAAGTTGATAGATAACAAGGTGTGGAGGAAAGGGAACCCCTGTACATTACCATATGATCCAGCCAACCCACCACTGAGCTTATATCCAAAGAAAATTACATCAGTATCTCAGAGAGATACATGCACTCCCATAATCATTTCAGTATTATTTTCAAAAGCCAAGATATGCAAACAACCTAACCAGCAGGAGATGAACAGATAAAGAAAATGTTTAGGCCAGGTGTGGTAGTTCACACCTGTAATCCCAGAACTTTGGGAGGCTGAGGTGGGAGGAACACTTGAGCTGAGGATTTTGAGGCCAGCCCAGGGAAACACAGTGAAACCCTGTCTCTACAAGGAGAAAAAAAAAAAATTAGCCAGACATGATGGCACATACCTGTGGTCCCAACTACTCAGAAGACTGAGGTTGGAGGGTTGCTTGAGTCTGCAGTGAGCCGTGATCACGCCAGCATGCTCCAGCCTAGAGAACAAAGCAAGGCTCTATCTAAAAAAAAAAAGAAAAGAAAAGAAAATGTCATATATATATTTATGTGTATATATATATACACACATTATATATAGGAATATATATTATATAATATATGTAAGGAATAATGTAATTCAGTCTTAGACAGAAAGTCTGCCATTTGTAACAACACAGATGAATCTGGAGAACATTATGCTAAGTGACACAAGCCAGGCACAGAAAGATAAATACTACATGATCTTATTTATATGTGGACTCTTGCTTTTTTTTCCTTTTTTTTTTTTTTTTTTTTTTTTTTTGAGACAGAGTCTCCCTCTGTCACTCAGGCTGGAGTGCAATGGCGCAATCTCCGCTCACTGCAACCTCCGCCTTCTGGGCTCAAGGGATTCTCCTGTTCAGCCTCCCGAGTAGCTGGGACTACAGGCATATGCCACCATGCCCAGTTAATTTTTGTATTTTTAGTAGAGATAGGGATTCACCATGTTGATCAGGCTGGTGTCGAACTCCTGACCTCAGGTGATCTGCCCACCTTGGCCTCCCAATGTGCTGGAATTACAGGCATGAGCCACTGCGTATGGCCTATATGTGGACTCAAAAAAATGTCAAACACATAGAGAGAGTAGAGTGGCAGTTATTAGGGTGTGGAGGAGGAGGTAAGGCAAAGATGTGAGTCAAAGGGTATAAATAAGTCTAGAGAACGAACGTGCAGCAGGAGAAAGGAGAACCACAGTTAATAATACTGTATTTACTGAAAACCTAGTAAGAGAGCAGATGTTAGGTGCTCTTACCACATACACACACACAAGAAATGACTATGTAAGATGATGGATATGTTAAATTTCTTAGCTATAGTAATCATTTCACTGTACATATAAAATCATGTTGTCCACGTTAAATTTACACAAAAAAGAAGAAAAATGCAGATACGTTTACAGAAGAGTATTAAAATCACTCATTACCCCAAATCAAGACATAGTATCTGATCACCTGTTGGTCTATTTACTTCCAATTTTGTTATTTTCCTATATATTTTTATGTATGTGTATGTGTGTATTTTCTTTAAAAATATATACTCATACTGTACCTATTGCCTTGTCACCTAATTCTACTTCTCTGCTTTGCATTATGGTATAAGTGTCTTCAAATGGCTCCATGTTTTGAAAGCATAATTTGTAATGGTAGAATCATATTCTCTTCTACCATAAATTATTTAACCATTTTTTCAACTGTTGGACATTAATGCTCTTTCCAATTTTTCTCTATTTTAAATAACGGTAAATGAGTAACATCAACATGGTACATAAATATTTAACCACAACTCTGATCATTCTGTAACATTTATGCATTCCTAGGAGTCCTTCGAGTAGGTTTAAAAAAAAAAAACAACTCAGACTCTAAAAACACTCTACTCTAAGTTAAAAGTTGTGCTCTACTACTAACTACAGCTGTGGTGTACTTAGGCAGTTACGTAGCCCTTCTAAGCCTCAGGAATACATAAAAAGAGAGGACATTTCTAGGTATGCATAGTTATGAGTACAAGCTTACAATTATGTTATATAATTAAATAAAATAAAAATAGTAAATAGATCATGCCAGTATCTGCATGCTGTACCAGTCCTTGTTTAAAATACCAGGACACCTATTCTTAGTGCAGTAGAAACACGAATAAATATGCATTCTAGGGGTTTTAGACATTTTCTTCAATGTGACATTTGTTTATGTGTTCAAATAGACCGGGAAAGGTGAGAAACCAGTGGTATGTTTTACCAAGTGCTGTTAATTGAGTGATTTTGCTAATTAACATATTACATCCTAACAGGGAATGAAGAGAGATGTTAATTGTCTTCTTCATTACAAAGATGGAGTTAAAGCCAAGAAATCCTTAAGAGACAAATAGCACTTAACCCCCTGAACTCTGGATGAGGAGGGAGAAGGATGTTTGCTTTTGATCATTCCAGTCTTTCCATGATCTGAATCACTAACTACTCCTTATGGCTTTAAGTCGTGGCTCTAATTAGTCATTCTCCTGGTTTACAAAGTGAAACGTACATCTAATCATATTTGTAAATTCCAGCAAGCTTTCTGGGCCCATGCTATCTCAATAAAATAGATTAAATGCCACCCACCTGTTAAAAATGCTTTTCCCTATGCCAAAAATATTTATACTATCAAATTTAAATTGTATTTGAAAGGATATTGTAAAGGCATAAATGTATAACATAATGCCATTATAAGTAATGGGATATATGGTAAGTTAGTTCATAACTAAGTAAGGAAAACTTAACCTATGTTAACTTCAAAGTAAAAACAGGAGAGTACGATGATTATGAAAGGACGGTGTACGTGGTATGCCTAACCGGAAAGAAATATTCAGAAGGATAATCCCCCCAAAAATTCCTCGTCTTGCCAAGGTACCAAAATCAAAACATAGCAAAATGAACACTGGCCTTGAGTTTCGCCCAAATGTATTAGTTCTCTTACTGCTGATAAAGACATACCCAAGACTGAGTAATTTATAAAGAAAAGGGGTTTAAAGGACCCACAGTTCCACATGGCTAGAAAGGCCTCACAATCACGGTGGAAGATGAAGGAAGAGCAAAGGGACATCTTACATGGCGGTGGGCAAGAGAGAATGAGAGTCAAGTGAAAGGGGAAACCCCTGATAAAACCGTCAGATCTCGTGAGACTTACTACCACAAGAACAGTACGTACGGGAAAAACAGCCTCCATGATTCAATTATCTCCCACCAGGTCCCTCCCACAACACGGGGGAATTGTGGGAGCTGCAATTCAAGATGAGATTTGGTTGAGGACACAGCCAAACCATATTACCAAACATCTAATACAACCACATGAAAAAAAAACCTTCCTCAAAATTATATAATCCTTTTCATAAAATAGAGGTGTCTGTGCAATAGGTAGGATGAGCTGGGAACATTTTCTCTTGCCTATGAAATGCAGGTGGGATAACTGAATTATAAATTTGCAGCTTAAGAACTCCCAGTTCTCTATTCCAGGTTTAACCACAATGCCTGCTTCATAAGTGTTGCTTAAATGAGTCAGCCACTTTTTCTAATTGGTTATTTGGTCTGCCGTAGTGCTTGCTCTACTAGACCATAAACCCTGTGGGAACAGGAATGCAGCATCTGCCCCACCTCTGTCACTTCAGCATCTGGAGCAGCACAGGGGCTTAGTACATACATGTTGAACGAATCAATGAGTTGGTTTGTGTCTCCTTCACTCTCCATCTGGCATAAGTTGGTGAGAAGACAATTACACTTTTTGTTTCTCAAAGACTGCAAATTTATGGCCAGGCATGATGGCTCATGCCTGTAATCCCAGCACTTTGGGAGACCAAGGTGAGAGGACTGCTTGAGCCCAGAAGTTTGAGACCAGCCTGGACAACATAATGAGATCCCCATCACTACAGAAAATTAAAAATTAGCCACGTGTGGTGGCACATGCCTGTAATCCCAACTACTTGGGAGGCTGTGGCTAGTGGAATGCTTGAGCCCAGGAGGTCGAGGCTGCAATAAGCCATGATTACACCACTGCACTTTAGTAAGAGAGACAGTGAGAGACTGTCTCAAAAAAAAAAAAAAAAAAAAAAAAAGACTGCAAATTTCATTCCAATTTTCCAAAATTGCATCTTGAGTTTGCCTAGTACTGCCACATTTTTTAATGGGCCTACAGTCTGCTTTTGAATGGAGGGAATCAAAAAGCTTCATGAGCATTTGGGGAAGCATTTTTATTGTTTTTTTAAAAAAATAGTACTAGGTATTCATGTAGCATGCTACATTTGTAGCACTTAATATGAACATCAGAACATTATATGTTAATATGTACATATTTAAATGAACACACATAAGCTAAATACTCATTTAATACAAATAATTAGTTCCTTAAGTCTTTTGGGTTGCCACTAAAGACCTCTAGACTCCTGTGGGGTCCTAAGGAGTTTGGAATTACTGAGTCTTGCCTCCTCCCCAGGTGAGCTGATTTTCCTGGAAGCAGGCAGTCCCATACCCACTCTTGCCTCATTTGTGGCTTTGGGGATCCAAGAGGCCCCAGTTGCATGGATGTTTAAGATTGAATGGGTTGGTTCCATGGAGTCCCTAGAGTTGCACAGAGAAGAGGGAAACCCTAGGCTCCTCTTAAAAAAAATTCAAGCCCCTACCACTTTAGCAGCAAATCATTTGCTTCACATTTTTCACAGTCTTGAACCTCGTATATCTAACAAGCAGAAAAAGTAACGTGAATCCTAACACAACGAAACCGTCATCTAATTTTGTTTCTACCACTCTCTTGAGTCATGGAGATTCATTTACTGCCATGAATGATTTCTTTTATTGACGTCTTTCTGAATGCACCCACATTGGCCAAAATTGCTTAGTTACTTCATAAATATTCACTACTTTTATTTTTTTTTTATTTTTTTATTTTTTATTTATTTTTTTTTTTTGAGACGGAGTCTCGCTCTGTCGCCCAGGCTGGAGTGCAGTGGCGGGATCTCGGCTCACTGCAAGCTCCACCTCCCGGGTTCACGCCATTCTCCTGCCTCAGCCTCCCAAGTAGCTGGGACTACAGGCGCCCGCCACTACGCCCGGCTAATTTTTTGTATTTTTAGTAGAGACGGGGTTTCACCGTTTTAGCCAGGATGGTCTCGATCTCCTGACCTCGTGATCCGCCCGCCTCGGCCTCCCAAAGTGCTGGGATTACAGGCGTGAGCCACCGCGCCCGGCCTATTTTTTTAATGTTTAACTTTATGAGTATACAAATAAATCACAATATCATATTAGCTTGAAGAAAGACCCTGTTGCGAATCTTTAGCTTTAGCATGGGGAGAGCAGGAGTTTCCTGGATGTAGGACAGTGGAGAGTCACATCTAGATTTTATTCTTATTTTCTCACTTAACTGTTCATCATGAAATGGCATATCACAATATCACTGGATGCCTTTCTAACTCAGGCTTATTAGCCCTCAAATACGAATAAGACTATTTCTACTTGTTTCTTTTTTCTCTTTTTTTTTTTTTTCCAGAGACAGTGTCTCACTGTCACCCAGGCTGGAGTGCAGTGGCTCAATCATCACTCACTGCAGCCTCAAACTCCTGGGCTCAAGCAATCCTCCCATCCCATCCTCCCCAGGAGCTGGGACTACAGGCAAACACCATCATGCTCAGCTAATGCTTTTAAATTTTTGTAGAATGAGGTCTTGCTACATTGCCCAGGCTAATCTTGAACTCCTTGGCTCAAGGCATCTTTCTGTCTTCGCCTCCCAAAGTGCTGGGATTTGGACACCAGAGACTGCACTTGGCCTCCTATTTCCATTTATTTCATAAGAATAAAAGGGAGTCTGGAAAAACTTAAAATCGTCTTAAGAAAAAGTTTCTCAGCAGAGTACTCTGTGCCTTCAAAACTCACACAAGAACCTTCATACCCAGTGAAACTACAGGACCAAAGAGCACAGCAAACGAAGCTGAACTTTTGCTCAGCTGACCCACTTCTCCCCTGAACCCTCTTTTAGTTTCTAGCAATCACTAGCACTCTTGTCTTTGAGTTTTTTTGTTTGGTTTTCTTTTTTGGAGAAAGAGTTTCCCTCCTGTTGCCCAGGCTAGAGTGCAATGGTGCGATCTCTGCTCACTGCAACCTCTGCCTCTCAGATTCAAGAAATTCAGCCTCCTGAGTATCTGGAATTACAGGCCTCTGCCACCATGCCCAGCTAATTTTTGTATTTTTAGTAGAGACAGGGTTTCACCATGTTGGCCAGGCTGGTCTCGATCTCCTGACCTCAGGTGATCCACCCGCCTCGGCCTCCCAAAGTGCTGGGATTACAGGCATGAGCCACTGCGCCCAACCTCTGTCTGAGTTTTTTAAGTTCTCAATGTCAGTTTATTATATAGTCACTTTGTAGCCTAAGGCTTCGGAGTTAAACAACCTATGTTCAAATGTTTATTCCTCCTCACTTGTTGTATGAGTTTCGACAAATAACGAATCAATACCAGTTTTCTTCATCTGTAAGAAAGGTGACTAACACCTCATTAGAGTGTTGTGAACACTCAATAAATAATAATATTAACATCTCCCCTTGGCTAAGGGACACAGGTATAAATGATCCAAATACTTTATTTGGATAATGAAGGTAAGTCAAGGACAATCTTGTCATTACTTGGGCACATGGAAATACAGATGTTCCTGCGAGCGTGGAAACAATTCTATGCCGCTCATTACAAGTTAAAGTCAGCAACAATGAAAAAATTAAAATTACACCTAATAAGTAGAATATACCTTTTGTTTAATTTTTCTAACTTTATTTTTTAGAAACAGAGTCTCACTCTGTGGCCCAGGCTGGAGAGTGGTGGTGCAATCACAGCTCACTGCAGCCTCAAACTCCCGGGTTTAAGCAATCCTCCTGCCTCAGCTTCCCAAGTAGCTGGGACTACGGGTGTCTACCAGCATGGTGACTAATTCTGAAGTTTTGTTTGTGAGAGACAGGGTCTCACTATGTTACCCAGGCTGTTCCTAGACTCCTGACTTCAAAGGATTCTCCTGCCTTGGCCTCCCAAAGTGCTGAGATTATGGACATGAGCCACCACGCCCAGCCAAGCCTCCTTTTTTCCCCATCTTTTCTACTGCTCTAAGAGTCTAGTTCACTTTTAGCTACATACTGAATTTCTATCCTCTACATACTCCTATGCTGTTTTAGGGAATTAGAAAATGGTTTAAGATGGTTTTCAAAAAAAGAGAAGATAAAGTTCATGTATACTGGAAAACAATAGCCCTGTTCTAAAGTGGCTAAGACTTTAGAACAAATTATAATTATTGGAAAGTCCCTTTTGATTTTTACTTTTTTTTTTCCTCCTGTTTGTTTTATTTAAATAGGATCTTGCTATGTTGCCCAGGCTGGTCTCGAACTCCTAGCCTCAAGAGACCCTCCTGCCTTAGCCTCCCAAAGTGCTAAGATTACAGGTGTCAGCCACCATGCCCAGCCCTGGTTTTAAAATTGGCTGCAAATGAAGCCAGAGTGTTTCAGTAGGAGAGAATACTAAGCAAGGAAAACATTATGGCCATAGACTTGGGAAGAAAAAACATGGAATATTCTGGGACACTGGTGCAGAAGGAGTGGAGTCTGACTAGATACAGAGCGAGGGTCCTGTTGCAAGGTAGTGGGGACTGCGCTTATGAGCACTGCCTAGGGCAGTGTTATGAAGAGCACTGAATGCTTGCATTTGATGCACCGTTCATTAAGAAGAGGGAGCCTCTCCATATACTCAGCTAGAGCAACAGAATAAACCCATTTAATGAATTCTTCAATCTGCAGAAAAAGCCAGTGGCAAAAGAGGCAGAGTGGTAGGAAGATTTAGTAGTGGGGCTCCAATTTTTGAGCTTATAACTCATATATGCAAAGATGATGTCTTGCTAAATTTGGTCTTTAATTTAGACTTTTTCCCGCACCCACAGGTTACCAGGGAAGAAATAAACTAAATGTCTAATCTGGTTTAAAAGTAGGCCTATTTAATAATCTAAACAGCTCTTACATCTATTGCTTAGTATCTCCAGGATGAAGACACTGAATCTCTCAGATACTTTCCCTGTCTTCTGCTGTTCTTCCTAAGCTGATGTTCAGGTATGTGGAGGGAGGAGAGTGCCCTATGTGTTGGGAAGGGAGGGAAGGGCTTCATGTCAGTCCTCAGGTAGGCAATGGCCTGCGTCCACTCATCTCAGAGCCAATGTCCTCTGTCCACCTACAGGTTGCTTGCTCAGCTAAAATCTGCAGCTGAACTCTGCATCTAGTGTGCTATGTGATCTCTCTGAGCCTATTTAGAACCTGGGAAGACACTCCAGTCCACTTGGCCTTGTTTCTGACTTGCTCCAGCTACAAATTTTCAATCCACTTGCCAAGTGACCTGCCTGCCCCTCACCTGTGCTTCCCAGCCCCTTCTCCCTACTATGTAGGCCAGTCACAAGCCATGGCTTATCAGCATTTGAACCAGGATAAAAATGAGAGTGGCTATGGAAAGGCACAAGAACCCTAAACCTCAGACCTTCCCCTCTGTCTGATAATGGCATGCCACGTAGTTTAATTTTCTGTGGCTGCACTCCAGGTTAACTGCAGGTTAGTTCCAGGTAATACTTTAGCTGCATTGCAGGGCAGACCTGCCTGCAATGCCTGAACCTAAACTAGAGAAAGAAGTATCTGGACCTAAATTATTTTTAATGGAGAAATTATACAACTTTATTGAGCAACATTAAAGAAGACTAAATAAATGGCATAATATACTATGTTCATGAATTGGGAGACAGTATATAAAGATATTAATTGTTACCAAACTGGTTTATAATGTAATCAAAATCAAAATACAACAGTTATTTTGTGAAACTTGACAACCTAATTCTAGAATTAAACCATAAATGAGATACTATCAAAATAACCACATGATCTAAACTTATAACGTCTGATAACAATAAGTGTTGGCAAGGGTATGGAGGAATAGGATCATTGGTAGCAGTGTTCACTGGCACAACCATTAGAAAATATTTTAGCATTATCTACTATGGTAGATAAACACATGGTTGTGGCTTAATTTATTTCCCCCAAAAAGTAATGTTCAAGTCCTAACTGTGGGTATCAGTGAATATAAACTTATTTGGAAATAGGGTCTTTGCAGATGTAATTAAGTTAAAAAGACATCACACTGGATTTGAATGGGCCCTAATTCAGTGACTGATATCCTTATAAAAGAGTAAATAAATGAAGTTTGGAGACACAGATGTAGAGACACAGGCACATGGAGAAAAAGAAGGTCACATGAAGACAGAGGCCGAGATTGGAGTGACACTGCCACAAGCCAAGGAGTGCCAGAAGCTGGAAGAGTCAAGGAAGGATTCCTCTCTAGAGCCTTCAAAGGGATCATGACCTTGCTGACACCTTAACTACAGACTTGTAACCTCCAGAATGTGAAAAAAAATAAAGTTCTGGTTGCTTTAAGTCACATAGTTTGTGGTACTTTATTAAGGTAATTCTAAAAAACTAATATAATATACATGTCCTGTGACCCAGCAATTTCTCTTCTTGGATATTGATATGGTTTGGCTGTGTCCCCACCCAAATCTCATCATGAATTGTAACTCCCACAGTTCCCACATATCATGGGAGGAACCTGGTGGGAGGTTACTGAATCATGAGTGCAGGCCTCTCCCATGCTGTTCTCATGATAGTGAATATGTCTCACGAGATCTGATGGTTTTAAAAATGGGAGTTTCCCTGCACAAGCTCTCTTCTCTTGTCTGCCTCCAGGTGAGACGTGCCTTTTACCATACACCATGATTGTGAGGCCTCCCCAGCCACGTGGAACTGTAAGGCCATTAAAACTCTTTCTTTTGTAAATTGTGCAGTCTCAGGTATGTCTTTATCAGCAGTGTGAAACAGACTAATACAGATAAACTACATAGGAACCTGTGCATATGTATTCCTGGATACATTTTAAATAATACTCACAGCACATTGTTGATAATAGCACTAAATGGAAATAACCCAAATGCTCATCAACAGCAAGTGGATATGTTAATTACATTCATTCATTCAACACTATGCATGGCATGCTTACTATATACTAAGCACTGTTGTAAGCCTCTGTAGAACTTATATTCCAGTAGAGGTAAACAGACCATAAAAATACATATATATTGATCAAATTATATACTATGGTAGAAGTTGATCAGAGCTATAGAAATAAAAATACAATGCAAGGTAACAGGAATTACAAGTGCCAGCTTTATGTAAATTTCAACATTACATTAGGTGGCCAGCTGTTATGGGCAGAATTGTGTCCCCTTAGAGGGGACACAATAGAATTCATGATTTGAAGCTGTAGTTAGCTCCTGGTGTGACTGTATTTAGACAGGTCCTTTAAAAAAGGTAAGTTAAAATAATGCCATTAGGATGGGCCCTAGTCTGATCTGGCTGGTTTCCTTACAATAGGAGGAGATTAGACCAGAGACACCAAGGATGCTCACACAGAGGAAAGGCTGTGTGGGAACACAGCAAGCAGGCAGCCAACTGCAAGCCAAGGAGAGAGGCCTCAGGAGAAACCAACCCCACTGGCACCTTGATCTTGAACTTGCAGCCTCCAGAACTGTGAGAACATAAATTTCTGTTGTTGAAGCCATCCTGTCTGCAGTATTTTATTATGGAAGCCCTACCAAACAAACACATCAGGTTAGGTCTCACTAAGAAAAAAAGATTTGCATAGGTATTTGAAAGAGAATCTGGGAGAAGAATGTTTGATGCAGAAAAAACACCTACAGCAAAGGACTCTGAGTTAGGAGTCTACCTTACATACTTGAGGAACAGGAACGAAGCCAGGTGTCTGAAAGCAAAGCATGTGGAGAGTAGAGGGGCAGGAGGACATTAGTAAGATAAAAGGCAACAGTCAGGGGGGTTACGCATGTTATCATGAGGACTTCGGCTTTTGCTCTGAATGAAGAAGGGAACCGTTTCAGGAAGATACAGAGGAATGAGGTGCCTCATAGCAATGTAAATTACTATAACAGTTTTGATTTGATGTGGGTTTTTAAAGGACCATTCTGATGCCTCTCCCTCTTCCCTCCTCATCTTGAAAAATTCAGTCCATAAGCCATTAGGTAACACAAAGCAAGGTAGGCATTGCTACCAGCAGGACAGGGGGATGGGCCAGGCGCGGTGGCTCATGCCTATAATCTTAGCACTTTGGGAGGCCGAGGTAGGCAAATCACCTGAGGTCAGGAGTTCGAGACCAGCCTGACCAACATGGTGAAATCTCGTCTCTACTAAAAATATAAAAATTAGCCAGGTGTGGTGGCACGCACCTGTAGTCCCAGCTACTCAGGAGGCCGAGGCAGGGGAATAGCTTGAACCCGGGAGGTGGAGGTTGCAGTGAGCTGAGATTGCACCACTGGACTCCAGCCTGGGCAACAGAGCAAGATTCCATCTCAAAAAAAAAAAAAAAAAAAAAAAAAAAGAATAGGGGGATGGACTCTTGGTGACCCAGACAGGTATCATAGCCCAAGTAGGTTGAAGACAGTATGCATGCTGATTGGAAGTCTGCCCAACCTGGGCTGCCAGAGGCGAAGTAGAACCAGGAAGGCTGCTTTGTGGAGGGTTGCCTTGGCATTGCGTCCAAGCAGGTGGCAACCACCACATGGGTGGCCCAGTATGAGGAAGCAGAGGCTGAAGTTCTGCAGAGGGAATCTGCAGACAGAATCTCTATAGAGGAGTGGTCTGGTGCAGGGAATTAGAGCCCAAGCTGGATGAGGAGAGCATCTGTGTGTGGGAGAGGGGTGGGAGGGAGAGCAGCCCAGAAAGTGGAATTAAGCCCAAGTTGGGTAAGGAGGGTATTTATGAAGGGAGCAGGTGGAAATGCAGATGGAAAAGTGGTTACAAACAGTGAAATATATTAAAGATAATGGGAGCCAAGTTTCTCATGGTTACAGAAAAGAGTAAAAAACATGAAAGGGAGAAAATGATAATAAAGCCCGTGGTGTTAGAAGTAATTAGTATGGGCTCTTGGTTTTTAATATATATGGTAATGGAAATAAACAAGGTACCTATGTGTGTGTTTATACAAATACATACATCCCCTGACTCTGTCCACTGAGGCAACTAGGAACAGTGACACCCCAGTAGTAATGAGCACTCCTAGTACCCAGATCATGGGTTCTAAGTGCTAAGTACTATATTTCACTATAAGGAATGGGGGGCTCCTTGGAGAAATGGCTGAGTCCAGGGTTGGTGCAAGGAATGGGTAAAATGAATCTGGAGGCCAGGCATGGTAACTCATGCCTATAATCCCAGTACTTTGGGAGGCCTAGGCAAGTGGATCACTTGAGCCCAGGAGTTCAAGACCAGCCTGAGCAACACTGTGAGACCTCATCTGTATAAAAAATACAAAAATTAGCTGGAGGTGGTGGCATGTGCCTGTAGTCCCAGCTACTGGGGAGGCTGAGGTGGGAGAATGTCCTGAGCCTGGGAGGCAGAGGCTGCAGTGAGATGACATCACGCCACTGCATAGTAGCCTGGGCGATAGAGCCAGACCCTGTCTCAGAAAAGAAAGAAAGAAAGAAAAAAAAAAAGAACTTCAACAAACAGTTAAAAAAAAGAAATGAACATTTTTCTTGTACTAGAGATCACAGAAGCACTAAAAGAATGACAACTTAAAGGGACATAGAAGCTAGCTTGAAGGGGTTCCCACTGGCCAAATATGGGACAATTTGAGTATTATAATAATTTTAAGAATCAATAACCCATTGAATAAAATAGGAAATCACAAGTCCATACAGATAAATTGATGAAAGCTTGATTATTGGGATATTAAGATAGTTTTAAAACTATTAATTACAGTAATTAACCCTGCAAAATCCTTGCTAATTGCAAGTGGGAAAAGAATGCACACTATCAGCAATGGAAGAAAATGAGATCATGTGTCAACTGAGAGCACACACCATTTCTGGGACATTCCTGACCAAGATTTCCACCCCGCACCCCTCCACCTGCCACCGAGACAGAGTCTCACTCCGTTACCCAGGCTGGAGTGCAGTGGCATGATCTTGCCTCACTGCAACCTCCACCTCCCCGGGTTCAAGCAATTCTCCTGCCTCAGCCTCCTGAGTAGCTGGGATTATAGGCATGTGCTACCACGCCCGGCTAATTTTTGTATTTTTAGTAGACATGGGGTTTCACCATGTTGGCCAGGCTGTTCTTGAACTCCCGACCTCATGATATGCCTGCCTCAGCCTCCCAAAGTGCTGGGATTACAGGCATGAGATACCACGCCCAGCCCCTGACCAAGATTTATAATTTGAGTCTAATCATGGAGAAACATCAGAACCCCAAGTTAAGAGGCATTCTAGAAAATAACCTGCCTATAATCTTCAAAAGTGTCAAAGTTAGATGAATCAAAGAAACTGTTTCAGACTGAAAGAATCTAAAAAGACGTGACAAATAAATACAACCTGATTCTGCACTGAATCATTTTGCTATAAAGGTTATTACTAGAACAATGGGAAAACTTTTTTTTTTTTTGAGACCGGGTCTTGTTCTGTTGCCAAGGCTGGAGTATAGTAGCTCAATCACGGCTAACTGCAGCCTTGACCTCCAGGACTCAAGCAATCCTCCTGCCTCAGCCCCCCAAGTAGCTGGAACTACAGGAGCACTACCGTGCCTGGTTAATTTTTGTGGGGGTTTTTTGTTGTTTTTTAGAGATGGAGTTTTGCTATGTTGCCTAGGCTGGTTTCGAACTCCTGACTCAAGAAATCCACGCACCTCAGCCTCCCAAAATGTTGAGATTACAGGCATGAGTCACCGCACCTGGCCAGGAACATACGAATGAGATCTGAGGACTAGTGACTGTACCATGGTTACTTAGGAAAGTGTCCTTGTTGGTAGCAAATACTTGCTAAGATATTAGGGAGCGTTGAGGCATAAGGACAGCAATGTATTCTCAAATGATTCAGGAAAACACATGTTCATTGTACGTGCCTAAATTTTTCTATATGTTCGTCATGGTTTCAAAATAAGAAAATATTAACAATAGGAATTAAGAACAGATACTCAAATACTTGTTCACAGTAGCAGTATTCACAATAGTCAAAAGCTGGAAACAAGCCATATGCCTATCAGTGGATGAATGGGTAAATAAAATGTGGTGTGGACATACCCTGAGGTATCACTCAGCTGTGAAAAAGAATGAAGTATTGATACATGCTACAACATCAATGAGCCTCCAAAACTTAAGTGAAGACCAGGCGCAGTGGCTCATGCCTATAATCCCAGCACTTTGGGAGGCTGAGACGGGCAGAAGCCCAGGAGTTTGAGACCAACCTGGGCAAGATGGCGAAACCCACCTGGGCAAGATGGCAAAACCCCATCTCTCCAAAAGAAAAAAAAAAAATTAGCCAGCCATGTTGGTGCATGCTTATAGTCCCAGCTACTCTGAAGGCTGAGGCAGGAGGATCACTTAATTCCAGGAGGCAGAGGTTGCAGTGAGCCAAGATCGCACCACTGCACTCCAGCCTGGGTGCTAGAGTGAGACTCTTGTCTCAAAAAAAATAAATAAAACTTTAAAAAAAGAAAAAGGAAACATGATCAGTGAAATAAATCACAAAGATCACATGTTGTCTAATTCTATTTAAATAAAATATCCAGAATAACCAAAACCACAGAAAGAAAAAGCCACTGATAGTTGCCAGGGTCTGGAGGGAGCAGGAAATGAAGAGTGACTGCTCAGTGGGTATAGGGTTTTCCTTTCAGATGAAGATATTTTTTAACTTGATAGAGGCTGTGATTATACAACATTGTGAATGTACTAAATGCCACTGGACTGTACAGGTTAAAATATCTAGTTTCATGTTTATTTCAGCTCAATAAAAAAATACTAGAACTAGGCTGGGCATGGTGGCTCACACCTGTAATCCCAGGACTTGGGGAAGCTGAGGCGGGTGGATCACCTGAGGTCAGGAGTTCGAGACCAGCCTGGCCAACATGTGAAATCCCATCTCTACTAAAAATACAACAATTAGCTGGGTGTGGTGGCATGTGCCTGTAATCCCAACTACTCAGGAGGTTGAGGTAGGAGAATCGCTGGAACCCAGGAGGCAGAGGTTGCAGTGAGCCGAGATTGCACCACTGCACTCCAGCCCGGGCAACAGAGTGAGACCCCATCTCAAAAAAATACTTTTATATATTTATATATAGAAATATATTTCTGGCCAGATACAGTGGCTCACTCCTGTAATTCCAACACTTTGGGAGGCCAAGGCGGGTGGATCACAACGTCAAGAGATCAAGACCATCCTGACCAACTTGGTGAAACCCCGTCTCTACTAAAAATACAAAAATTAGCTGGATGTGGTGGTACATGCCTGTAGTCCCAGCTACTTGGGAGGCTGAGGCAGGAGATTCACTTAAACCCAGGAGGCAGAAGTTGCAGCGAGCGGAGATTGCACCACTGCACTCCAGCCTGGTGACAGAGAGAGATTCCATCTCAAAGAAAAAAGAAAAAGAAAAAGAAATATATTTCTATATTGAAAGAACTCTGTGTAGTAGGGTATAAGGGTAGAAGTCAACTAAAACCCTACTGCAGAAAGCCAGTTCAAGTTCATGGTACGTTGGACCACGATGGTAACAATGGAGGTGGTAACGAGTCTGATTCTAAATACATTTTCATGATAGAGTCATGTGAGCTGTGAAAGGAAGAAACTAAATCACTAGTAATTCCAAGGATTTTAGATGTAGCAACTGAAAGAATATAGTTGCCTTCAGCTGATATGGGAAGCCTGCAGCGGGAGCCAAAGAACTGGAGTTCAGTTTTGGCCGAGTTGAGTTTAAGATGATTATATAAGATCACTGAACAGAGATTTAAATAGGTATTTGGCTATACAAGTCAGGAATTTGAGAGAGAAGTTTGGGCTATAGATATAAAATTTGGAAGTTGTTAGTGTCGCAATAATAGTTAAAACTGTTACCCAGGATGAGAATATCAATGAAGTGAATGTAGACTCAGAAGAGAACAGGAATAGGGACTGAACCCTGGAACACACTCGTATCAAAAAGTCTAAGAGAAGAGATGTTGGCAAAAGAGACTGAAAAGTACTAACCAGTGAGGAAACCATGAACACACACGCTGCCCTGCAAGCTATGTGAAGAAAAGGTATCAAGGAGATGTGAAAGGAAATTCAATCTCGGGACCCCAAACTCATTAAGCCAAAGGAAAAAGTCAAGCTGGGAACTGGGTCACGCAAACCTGCCCACCCCCTTTTGGTTCCTAAATAAGATGGCTACGAGATGAAAAGCTACACGCCTCCCCCATATTTTGCCCACAAGGCAATTCCTAGTGAACTGCAAGATCTTTTAAGGTGTTTCTGTTAAAACTTCACCATGGCAATGTAAATTGGCATCTTATCCTTACAGGTGCAGTCACCTCCAGCCCACCAGACACAATGCATATCTGATTGCTCCCCTGCCCCATTTAGTCTAGGTCATCTTAGGTAAAAGGCAGATTCCCTGCATTTTCCCTCTGCCCCATTTATCTATGTCATCTTATGCTAAAAAAAAAAATGCAGATTCACTGAACCAAAGGCAGGAATTACTATTTTTCCCTATTCCCCTTTTGCATGAAAATCGTATACTTCTCAATACCCCGCCCTTTCCCCTTTAAATTTGGAGTCCTCAGAATCATGTCTGGAGAAAGGCATAGATCTGTCTCCTGGGCACGCATCCTTCACTTTGGCAAAAGAAACTCCTAAAATGATTGAGACTTGTCTCGTCATTTTTCTCAATTGACATCGGAATGTGTGATACTTTATGTCACATCCTGCTGATGGCTCACATGAGATGATAGAATTTTGAAGGTATGTTATTAGGAGCAAACACATTTGGGGTCCTTATGGGTACTTTTATGAAATTACCATGCTATTATTTTGAAATATTCCTCTTTATTTCTTACAATGTTCTTGATCTTGAAGTGTATTGTCAGATATTAGCATAGCCATATCAGACAATAACTTTATTAGAGTTAGTGCTTACATAGCTTTTACTTTCAATTCTTTAACTTTCAACCTATCAGTATCTTCATATTTAAAATGTGCTTCTTGGCCAGGTGCAGTGGCATATGCCGGTAATCACAGCACTTTGGGAGGCTGAGGCAGGAAGATCACTTAAGGCCAGGAGTTTGACACCAGCCTGGGCAACATACCAAGACTGCATCTCTACCGAAAAGCTAAAAATTAGCTGGGCACGGTGGTGCGTGCCTGTGATCCCAGCACTTTGGGAGGCTGGAGTGGAAGAATCATATGAGCCCAGGAGTTGAAGGCTTTAGCGAGCAATGATCACGCCACTTCTTGCCAGCCTGGGTGACAGAACAAGACATCGTCTCTTAAAAAAAAATAAATGAAGTATGCCTCTTGTAAACAGCATATAGTTAGGTGATGTTTTGTTATTCGGACTGACACAATCTGGTAATGGAGTATTAATTCCTTTTGCACTTAATACAATTAATTATTGATATAGTTTAAGTTTACCATCTTGTTTTTTTTTTTTTTTTTTTTTTTTTTTTTTTTTTTTTTTTGAGACTGAGTCTCGCTCTGTCACCCAGGCTGGGCTGGAGTGCAGAGGCTCGATCTCGGCTCACTGCAAGCTCTGCCTCCCAGGTTCACACCATTCTCCTGCCTCAGCCTCCTGAGTAGCTGGGACTACAGGTGCCCACGACCACGCCTGGCTAATTTTTGTATTATTTTTTTAGTGGAGACGGGGTTTCATCACGTTAGCCAGGATGGTCTCCATCTCCTGACCTCGTGATCCGCCCACCTTGGCCTCCCAAACTGCTGGGATTACAGGCATGAACCACTATGCCTGGCCTACTATCTTGCTATTTGGTTACCAGTTATCCCTTCTGTTCTTTGTTCCTTTACTCAACCTTTTCTGCCTCCTTTTGGATTAAAAACTTTTTTTTTTACTTTACTTTTACTTCTTAGCTATACATTTATTTTGTTCAATGGTTACTCTTGACATTATTATACATATCCTTATTTATTTGCCTTGAATTATTTTATTACTTCATGTACAATACAAAAACTATAGTTTCACTCACCTGCCCTGTGTGCTGCTAGTATCATATATTTTACCTTTATATGTTATAAATTACATAATATGTTTTTATCATTGCATTTTTATCATTGCTTAAGATAGCCAGTAATCTTCCAAATATGTTCAAGTTACCTTTATGCTGTTTTCCATTCATTCCTGTACATCTGTTATTCAACAGATGGGAATATTTACCATTTAGCCTAAAATATTTTCTATATTATTTCTTGTAGTATTGGATCTGCTGACAAAGAATTCTCTCAGCTCATGTTTCTCTAAATCATTATCTTCATTTTGAATTTTATTTTGGCCGGATATAGAATTCTGGATGGGCTGGGATTGGGGGCTTTTTTTAACTTGTACTCTGAAGAAGCAATGCCATTGTGTTCTGACTTCCATTGCTTCTGATGAGAGGCTTATTTCAACCATTTGTTGTTCCCCAGCATAAAATATATCTTTTCTCCTCTGACTGCTTTTAAGACTTTTTCTTTGGCTTTCAGAAATTTGATGATTTGCCAGGGTGTACTTTTCCTTCTATTTGTCCAGATTGGGGTTAGATGAGCATCTTCAGTCTGTTAGTATGTTTCATCGATTTTGGAAAATATTCAGCCATTAATCCCTTTTTTTTTTTTCTCTTTTTGAGACAGGGTCTCCCCTTGTTGCCCAGGCTCAGGGGCAACAAACTACTGCCCCTGTGCCATTGGTTTGGTTTGCCCAAACCATTGAACAAAATATAGATTGCAATGGAAGGATCATAGCTCACTGCAGCCTTGACCACCCAGATTCAAGTGATTCCACCACCTCAGCCTCCTGAGTAGCTGGTGTGCACCACTATGCCTGGCTAATTTGTCGTAGACAGGGTTTCGTCGTGTTGCCCAGGCTGAGCCATTATCTCTTTGTATTTACTCTCTCTCTCTCTCTCCTCCCTCACCCACCACCCTGGTGATTTCAGTCACATGTATTAAACCATTTGTTACTGTCCTTCATGTCTCGAATGCTATTTTCTTCCATTCTCTTTTCAGTCTGTTTCAGTTTAGATCATTTTTATTCTCTATCTTCAAGTTTACTGGTCCTTTCTTCTGCTGTGTCCAGTTTGCTGTTAAGTCCATTGAATAAATCCTTAACTTTAGATGTTGCATATTTTAGTCCTAAAGTATCAATTTGGTTTTTTACTAGCATTTCATAGTTTTTAAAACTCTCCACGTTTTCATTCATTTATCTCATTTTTTATATTTTCTTGAAAATATTTATAATTGTTCAAGTCTTTAATCTGTTCATTCCAACATCTGGATCATCTGTGAGTCAACTTCCCTTAACTATATTTCCTCTTGGCTCATTTCTCATCATTGTTTGCATGTCTCATATACTGTTTTAATTGTATCTCAGACATTATTATTTTAAAACTGTGGAAACTTAAGTAATATTTTCCCCTGGAGAGGACATACCCTTTCTTCTGTCTGGCAGTCAAGGTGAGGAACTGATTACTTTGATCCAATCAGGAACTGCGCTGGGTTGAGGCTGGGTTGCCACTTTATTTTTGGTTCACTCCTGGTTTCAAATATCTTAACAGCAAGATTTGCCGTGTATATCAATCAATCTCTGTTTTCCAGCTCTTTCCTCAGCTTCCCACAGCCACTCACACTCAGCAAAATTCTGAGGGAGGGGGAAAAACAGAAATGAGGAAAAACTAGCTGTGCCTTTGAAGTTCCTCTATGTTCTAATCTGTCACCAGCCTACCCACAATGGTTTCGAGTTCTGCTGGTATTTCATTACCCCCAGAAAGTCCTCTGCCTGTGGCAGATCAAATAATTGGCCTGTCCATGTCCTAATTTGTTAATTTGCCCTGGGATGAAATTGGCTACAGCTTTCTCTCACCTAGAAAAGGTTTACCCTTCTCTGGAATGCAGTCCTGTCATAGGTCTTTGAACCAGAGCAACTCCATCTTGAGTAGGGACTGGGTAAAATAAGGCTGAGACCCACTGGACTGTATTTCCAGAAAGTTAAGAAACTCTTAGTCACAGGATGAGACAGGAGGTAGGCACAAGATACAGGTCATAAAGACCTTGCTGATAAAAAGGTTGCAGAAAAGCAGCAGCCAAATCCCACCAAAACCAAGACGGCAACAAGTGCGACCTCTGGTCATCCTCACTGCTACACTCCCAGCAGCACCATGACTGTTTACAAATGACATGGCAACATGAGGAAGTTACCCTATATGGTCTAAAAAGGGAAGGCATGAATAATCCACCCCTTGTTTGGCATATAGTCAAGAAATAACCATAAAGATGGACAACCAGCAGCCTTCGGGGCTGCTCTGCCTATGGAGTAACCATTCTTTTCTTCCCTTACTTTCCTAATAAACTTGCTTTCACTTTACGGATTCTCCCTGAATTCTTTATTGCTTGAGATGCAAGAACCCTCTCTTGTGGTCTGGATTGGGACCCCTTTTCAGTAACATCTAAGGACCATGGAAGAGACAATACTAAGGAAACCTCCAACCCAAAGGCTAATTTTGGGTAAGTGGTGACATCCAGTAACAGTTCCTTTACATTTCTTTGCACCCTCTGCTGGCTTTTAAAATATTTAGATTTTATATTTGCCCATTTTATTATGGCAGAAATGATTGTCTATCACAAACTTTTTCATCCTACCTAGAAGATATTTTTGACCAGTATCTTGTTTAACTCTCCTTTCTCTCCCAATTTTCTTCCTATAACACAGGAAACAGAGGTGATTTTATACACCTCCTTCTTGCCAATTCCAGATGCCTAGCTAAGCATTAATCACAGATACTGGTATTTTCTATGTATTTTGCAAGTACTCTGTGACCTGAATCCCTGGTTTAGCAATTAATGTGCCAAAATATAAAAAGATTAGTGCAAAAAGAGTTTAGTAATTTCCTTTCCAACAAGTAGGTAAGTTAACAAGACAATTTTGACTATAAAGGCCTATTTTGAAAGTCAAAAGCTGACCTTATTTCTATTCCTTTAACAAACCTTTTTTTTTTTTTTTAGACAGCGTTTCAATCTTGTTGCCCAGCTGGAGTGCAATGGCACAATCTCGGCTCACCACAACCTCCGCCTCCCTGGTTCAATCGATTCTCCTGCCTCAACCTCCTGAGTAGCTGGGATTACAGGCATGCGCCACCATGCCTAGCAAATTTTTTTTGCATTTTTATTTTTTTATTTTTATATTTTATTTTATTTTATTTTTTTGAAGCAGAGTCTTGCTCTGTCACCCAAGCTGGAGTGCAATGGCAAGATCTCGGCTCACTGCAGCCTCTACCTCCCGTGTTCAAGTAATTCTACTGCCTCAGCCTCCCGAGTAGCTGGGATTACAGGTGCCTGCCACCACGCCTGACTAAGTTTTGTATTTTTAGTAGAGACAGGGTTTTGCCATGCTGGACACGCTGGCCTCAAACTCCTGACCTCAAGTGATTCGCCTGCCTCAGCCTCCCAAAGTGCTAGGATTACAGGCATGAGCCACCACGCCCGGGCTTTTTTTTCGTATTTTTAGTAGAGATGGGGTTTCTTCATGTTGGTCAGGCTGATCTTGAACTCCCGACCTCAGGTGATCCGCCTGCCTCGGCCTCCCAAAGTGCTGGGATTACAGGCGTGAGGCACCACGCCCAGCCAACAACTGCTAATTCTTCTCTATCTCCCGTCTCCCACCCCCAGAAGATACATGACCCAAGCCAGTTAGAGCCACATTTATGTATGTACTTAAGAAAGCAAAACAGATCAAATTACACATTTCAAAACATTAGCTCTGTACACTATAATCTTATGTGGGGTGATAATGATGACAATGGGAATCTGAGAATGGGGGAGGGGTTGAGAGAGGAGAAAAGAAGAAACTGGTCAGGCAGTGAGGGCGGGTCCTTGGTTGAATTCTTTAAACAAAAGAACAGCTTGCAGGCACAGGTAAGAGAATTTTCACAGGGGGGCTTGCCTAAGACTTGCCTAGAGCCAAACAGATAAAGGCTACACAGACGAGTTGTCCAGACATGCCCACAATAGAAATTCCGTCCCCTAACACATGCATGGTAAGGGGAACAAAGCAATATGGAGTAACTGAAGCTAAGGGCCCACATGCCCACCAGGAGGTGGAGCTACCAGAAACTTGCACCTTATGCACATGAGATGCCCACCCTCATTGGTTTCTTATAAAAAGCCTTTGCAGTTAACTGTAAAAATGGAAACCATCTTCCAGGTGCCCTTTCTGTGGCAGAGAGATTTCTTCTTTTGCATATTACTTTTGCTCCAACTTCACCCTTTGTGTCCTGGCTCCTTAATTCTCTTGGTCATGAGACAAAGAACTCTGGGTGATACCTCACAAGGAGAGACTGCTACATTGTGGTACAATGGCCAGACTATAATAGAGGCAAATACAAAGGGCCACTTCAGTGGCAGATTCTTCAGAAAACTGCTACCAACTCACTTTAATTACTTACCCTTCTTAAAAAGTGAACATTTGTTTGTGGTTGTGCTGAGTTGATTAGTGTCCCTCCAAAATTAATGTCCACTAGGAAAGTCAGAAAATGATGGTATTTAAAAATAAATTCTTTGTAGGTGTAATGAAGCTAAAACGGGGTCATCTTGGATTAGGGTGAGCTCTGAATCTAATGACTAGTGTCCTTAGAAGGAGGGAGAGATTTGGCCTGTGGCTCACAACTGTAACTCCAGCACTTTGGGAGGCTGAGGCAACAGGATCACTTAAGCCTAGGACTTCAAGACCAGCCTGGGCAATGCAGTGAGACCCCATTTGTACAAAAAAATTAAACTAGCTGGGTGTGGCGGTGCACACCTGTGGTCCCAGCTGCTTGGGAGGCTGAGGTGGGAAGATCACTTGAGCCCAGGAGTTCAAGGCTACAGTGAGCTATGATCCCGCCACTGCACACTCCAGCCTGGGCCACAGAGCAAGATGACAACAACGGAAGAAGAGGAGGAAGAAGAGGAGGAGGAGGAGGAAGAAGGAAGAAGAGGAGGAGGAGGAGGAAGAGGAAGACTAGAAGATACACAGAGATACACAGGGAAGAGGGCCAGGTAAAGATGAAGGGAGATATTGGAGTGATGCATCCACAGCCAGGAGACACCAGGGACTGCCAGCCACCTCTAGAAGCCAGGAGACAGGCCTAGAACAAAGTCTCTCTAAGAGTTCCTGGAAGGAATCAACCCTGCCAACACCTTGACTTAGGACTTCCAGCCTCCAGAACCGTTAGAGAATCCATTTCCATTGTTTTAGGCCACTCAGTTTTTGTTAATTTGTTATGGCTGTCCCAGGCAACTAACAGAGTAGTTAATTCTCTCCTTTAAAATGACCCAGGGGAAGAAAAGCAAGAAAAAGTTCTGATTGTTTTTTTTTTTTCTTATCTCTCTGATATTGATAATGACTTGTCATGGGGAGAAAGAATAGTTTGTGTTATTTATCACACGTATCTGAAAAGGATAATCGAATCTCTAAGTAGGAAAACAAAAATAGCCAATGGCAATAGCAAAATGCATTGGCTACAAGACTCATAACAATAAGAAAAATGTTCCAAAATATGTGATAAAGGTGACGATTTCACAAGGAGATTAGCTGGTTGGTCAACGTGCAGAGCTTGAGAGAGCAACATGGAGTCAAGTGAACAGGTTGTGGAGTTAGAGATAGCACAAATCTGGGTTATGCACAGTGGCTCACGCCTCTAATCCCAGCACTTTGGGAGGCCAAGGCGAGCAGATCACTGGAGGTCAGGAGTTCGAGACAAGCCTGGCCAACATGGTAAAACCCCATCTCTACCAAAAATACAAAAATTATCCAGGCATCGTGGCATGGGCCTGTAGTCCAGCTACTCAGGAGGCTAAGACAGAAGAATCACTTGAGCCTGGGAGGCTGAGGTTGCAGTGAGCTGATATCACACCACTGCACTTCTCTGGGCAACAGAGAAACACCCTGACATACACACACACATACACACACACACGCACAAAGAAATTATGGGTTAGAAGTCATATAACTGGAGGCTACAAGATTCTGACCCTCCCTAAACTGCTCCTAAGATCTGTGCTTGAGATATTTTGCAGATCCTGTACTTGATGGATCAAGTACACCACCCAGATCGATAAACTGGCTCATCTGATCTTGCGGCCTCCACCCAGGAACGGACTCAGTATAAGAGGACAGCTTTAATTCTCTATGATTCATCTCTGACCCAATCAATCAGCACTTCCAACTCAATGGCCTTCCCCAACCCACCAAGTTACCCTGAAGAGCTCTAATCCCTGAATCCTCAGAGAAACTGATCTGAGTAATAATAAAACTCTGATCTCCTGCACAGCTGACTCTGTGTGAATTACTCTTTCTCTATTGCAGTTCCCCTGTCTTGATAAATTGGCTCTGTCTAGGCAACAGGCAAGGTGAACCCACTGGGTGGTTACACTATTATTACATTGATACCATTTATTGACCACTATGTGCTGGACACTGCTAATTCCTTTACATCATCTAATTTAAAACCCCATTTGGTTGGTATTATGACTCCAATGTTCAAATGAGCAGAAGTGAAGATTTGAAAATTTAAGTAATTTGACGCATGTCACACAGGCAAGTGGCGAAGGATTTGAATTCAGAGTCTGCAGGATCTCAAAAGCCATGCTCTAAGTCTAAGCATCTATGCATCACTATCTCATTTCAAGGAAAAAAGGGCATGCTGGTTTAGATGAAAATTCAGAATTCTTCTAATTTTTTTTGGAGGCTATTATAAATGATTTATATGATCCTTTCCTAAGTATTTCCAGAAGTGATACCTGATTTGATATTTGATTTTTAATTTCTGGTTCTTTTATAGAGGAATATGTACTTATTATGGGGTATACCCAGAGTGCTTGGTGGGTTCATCCTTAAAGAGAATTAGAGAGGCAGAGTGAAGCTTCTCCAGAAACATTAAGTGAAGAATGACAAATTAATCAAGCATTTGTAACCACATCTTTTAATCAGAGAAAAGTTTTTGCAAGAAACAGCCTTACTGCAAGGCAAGGCAAGTCATTAATTTAATAATTACAAAGCAGCAATTTTGGGCCAGGCATAGTGGCTCACGCCTGGAATTGTTGCACTTTGGGAGGCTGATGAAGGACGATTGCTTTATCCCAAGTTCAAGACCAGCCTGGGTAACATAGCAAGTCCCCTATCTCTATAAAAAAATAAAAATAAAAGATAAAATAATAAAACTTAGCTGGGCGTGGTGAGTGCCTATAGCCCTAGCTTTTACGGAGGCTGAGAAGGGAGGATCCACTGAGCCCAGGAGTTTGAGACCAGCCCACAGAGAAACCTCATCTTAAAAACAAAACAAAAAAAGAAAAAAAAAACCAGCAATTTTTGAAAACATTATTGTGGAAATCAGATACTCTTGCTAGCAGGTTTAGGTTTGTTTTGGTCTGAAAAAGGAAAATATGAAGACACAAGAAAGGCTTAGTTTGGATTCCTTTAAACATTCTTATCTTTTTAAAAGGAGAATTGTCCAATTAAAGTTGGAAAAATTACAAGGTACAATTATATATCCTTCTGCTGAGCGTGAGACCTCCTTCTGTCCGCTGCGGATTTCCCCTAGATGCTGTCATCCCTGATTGTGGATCACAAGTCCTAGCGGTTCACTTTGATTCAGAGCCTCAACTCACCAGGCGTTGAAATCTGCCACCATCCAGCTCTGACAAAGGGACATTAACAGCTGAGTGCTGTCAGTGTGCCGATGGTCCTATTGCCAACACCATTTCCTCATTTCTCGAGTGGTATCATCGCACATTTTATAGGAGCAATGGATGGAAATGGATCCCAAGGTACTAAGATAGTATCCTGGACCAAAACTTCTAGTAACTTTTTTTTTTTTTTTTTTTTTTTTGAGACAGGGTCTCACTCTGTCACCCAGGCTAAAGTACAGTGGCATGATCATGGCTCACTGCGGCCTCGGTCTCCCGGGCTCCAGTAATCCTCCTGACTAAGCTTCCCTAGTAGCTGGGATTATAGGCACCCATCACCATGGCCCAACTAATTTTCAGGATTTCTTGTAGAGACAGGGTCTCATTATGTTGCCCAGGCTGCTCTAGAACTCCTGGGCTTAAGTGATCCTCCCACCTCGGTCTCCCAAAGTGCTGGGATTACAGGCATGAGCCACTGCACCAGGCTAAACAGAACTTCTATTGTCAAATGTTATAATGCCCAATTATCTCTAGGGCTTTTTCCAAGTTGCAATTACAATGATACCTAGGCAATTAAGCAATTCTGTTGGCGTGAATTTCTACTATTCTTCTGTGTTTAAAGAGATGATGAAATTGGTTGTCCGAGGTCATGTGCAAGGCCAGTACTTAACAATCACTCTACAAATAAACTCCTCAGTATTTGTGATAAAATTAAGTAAGGGACACATTGAAGAAGACAAGTCTCTGCCTCATGGTTGCTTAGACGTTGAGACAGACTTCTAGTAGCACCCTTCTCCCTGGAAGCACAGAGTAAGAAATCTCCAGACAATTAATAGCTAATAGTGGCTGGGTGCAGTGGTTTACACCTGTAATCCCAGCACTTTGGGAGGCCAAGGCAGGAGGATCACTTGAGGTCAGGAGTTCAAGACCAGCCTTACCAACATGGTGAAACCCCATCTCCACCAAAAAAAAAAAAATACAAAAATTAGCCAGGAATGATGGCAGGCACTTTACCCCAGCTCCTCTGGAGGCTGAGGCAGGAGAATCACTTGAATCTGGGAGGCGGAGTTTGCAGTGAGCTGACATCCTGCCACTGCACTCCAGCCTGGGCAACAGAGTAAGACTCTGTCTCAAAAGAAAGAAAGCTAATGGTGAATCGACAGTAATCTAAGTTTTCAAACATGATAATATTGAGGTCTCTTTTCTGTTAGTGCTTAAGCTGCTTGCTGCTTTGATCATCTGAAGCTGCTAATGAAAGCTTTATTTCACATTTTGAATTCATACCTGCTCATTTGACATTTATTGCTGCTGATGTAAAAGATATTTCACCAATAATACAGGCTTGCTCTGCTTTATGGTCATTTGTATGTCTAAGAATTCATCACACTCTAAGAGCAGAGAGTAGCAATTTAAAATAAGGCAACATAATATGGCTGGTGATGAACTATTATTCTCTATTAAACACATTTTAATAAATATCCATGTATTAGTTAACTATAAAGGAAGTGTTTAAGATTAAGAAGAGCATATGTGAAAGACCCTATCTTCCTATTACTATAGCACCACTCATATTTGTAGGGTTTGAGACAGGGTCTCACTCTGTTGCCCAGGCTGGAGTGCAGTGGTGCCATCATAGCTTACTGCAGCCTCCAACCCCTGGGCTCAAACGATCCTCCCTCCTTAGCCTCCACAGTAGCTAGGACTACAGGGGCACACCACCACACCCAGCTAATTATTTTTATTTTTTAGTACAGACAAGGTCTCACTATGTTGCCCAGGGTGGTCATGAATTTTCGAGCTCTAGCTATCCTACAGCCTCAGCTCCCCAAAGTCCTGGGATTACAGGCATGAGCCACCACATCCAGCTCTTTGTGTAGGCTTCTATTTGAAACACAATTGCTTCTATATTGGCCATTAGGACACTTTCAGCTGCATAAAATAAAACACAGCTCAGAACGGCATGAACAATAGACACTGGTCACAAGGATTGAAGCCTAGAGGTAGACCTTCCACAGAGCTGCTTAACTTAGCAGTGATGATATCATCAAACATCCAACGCTTTCTTTTCTGGAGTGACCAACTTGTCCCAGTTTTCTGGGACTTTCCTGGTTTTAGCACTTCAAATGAGAAGTCCTGAGAACCCCCTTAGTCTGAGATAAACCTGGATGGTTGGTCACCCTATGAGTCCTTTCACCCTCAGGGTGCTAGCTTTGGTCCTGGGGCCTGTGCTCTCATTGCTAAAAATGACTACATCAGCTTGAGTTCTCTATATTCAAATTCATTCAGAGACAGAAAAGACTATTTCTCTTTCTGTACCTCTATTTTAAAGCATTAAACTGTCCTAGAAACTGTCCAACAGATTTCCCCAGACGTCCCATTGGTCGGAACTATCTGACGTCCCCTTTCCTCAACCAGACCCTGGCTAAGGAAAGGGAATTGCCAGGACAGGTGTACCCTAATCAAGATTCAGCTGCCTGGGGATGTGGACGTCATCTTCCCCAAGCAGTGATGGGGAAAACAAGAAAAAGAGGCCAAGGCAGGAGGATCGCTTGAGACCAGGAGTTCGAGATCAGCCTGGGTAATACAGTAAGACCTCTGTCTCTAGAAAAAATACAAAAATTAGCCAGCCATAGTGGTGCATGCCTATAGTCTTAGCTACTGGGGGGCTGAGGCAGAAGGATTGCTTGAGTGCAGGAGTTCGAGGCTGCAGTGAGCTATGATGGTGCCACTACACTCCAGCCTGGGCAACAGAGCAAGACATAAGTAAAGAAAAACAAAGAAAGGTACTGGTGGGTGATGATGCATTTGGACAGTGTCCATGCAGCAGTTATTGTTGGTTGCCTACGAATTCCATCTTTTTAGTTTTGTCTGCCTCTCCATCCCTGTTGATTCCTTGGGGTAAGGAGAACTCTTTCCCTTTCATGTTTTAGGATGCCTGGGATGGGTGCGGGGGACGGGCGGGGAGGAAAGGGCCCTTGCATAATTTGCAAAGCCTTCTTTGGTTATTCTGAGATTTTTTTTTCTCCTCTCTGCATCGTGATCATAAGCCCCAATAACACAAGCTAGACTCCCATGCCTTCAGATAAATGATGCTGGTATTTCTGGAGTCTCACTTCTCCAGAATATCAGACTCCAGCTTTGCAGACCTGAGATTTTTTTATAAATGAAAACCTGATTGGATCTACCTTTACCTACCTATGAAATGTCACCAATTAACCTGGTATCAAAGCAGAGTGCAGTGGGTATGTAGCGGCATCTTCTGTGAGATCTGGTGCTCATTAGGTAAGCTACCTTAATGTTTCCATCATAGCAACCTACTCAATTAAAGCTTCACTAGGACAATCACCAATTTATCCATAAAGTGCCCCTCACTGGAGGGAACCTTTCACCTTGCCTTCCAGAGCCAGCAAGACTCATTTAGAATTCATTTTCAATTTTCTCCCAGATTCTCTATCTCCAAAACATAGGATTTAAGACTTAATGCTCCCAAGCTGCAGCATTTCAAAGACAGACTGAAGTAGCATCTAAGTTCCAGGTTAAAAAAAAAAAAAAATCCAAAGGTGTCAAACATTAAAGTGAGCCACTTTTCTGCCTAAACTGATAGATATCTTTATGAGACTTAAAAATGACTGAAGCAACACCTTCAATATTTTCAATGAACTGCAATACAATGACCCCGTTAGTTGCTTTTTCAGTATGTCCGTGCTGAAGATTTTTACCTGCACGCTCTCTCCCTCTACAGAGGACCTTACTGCCACATCTGCCATATCACATCAACAGTAGTGAATGTCCTTTGCAAATGCAAATATTTGTAAAATGTTCTCAGACTGGGTGGGGACAGAGTTTGCTGATAGTTTAGAATAATTACAGGGGCTCTATGCACAAATGTCAACACAGAAAAAATTAGCAGAAAATGAGGCAAAGTGACAATACAAATGGCCAGATTCCCTATTATCACTTGCTGTACATCTCACAAGACAGCTGATTCCCCGCTCTGTATGGGTTCCAGCATCCAGTGATTTATTGGGTAATTCAGCATTTGCTAGCATGTCTTGTGCTAATTAAATGCATCGCACTCTATTCAGAAATGTCACAATTGATTTGTCTTCTGCAAGCACTGACTTTATTTCAATCTTCTGGAAAAGACTTTATGAGCCCCAGATAACTTATCCTGGCACATTCATCTCCCAGGGTAGCTTCTGGGAGTGGGGGCAGTAAGACAGGAAACCCCTAGCGAACATTTAATGCAAATACATTTGAGGACGTCTTATTTATCCATCATATGCCATGTGTCTGAGTAATAGCGTAGGTATGGCAAAATTACAAACTGCTCCATTAGCCTGTAAAAGCATTTAAACATGACAGAAGTTAATGTGAAATGATATTGGCAGAACTTATTGGATGCTGTTAGATCAATCCCAGAAAACATGTACTTCGAAAGTGGGTTATTTATTATGAGGTGTTTACTTATTCACAAATTGATTTTGATGAAATTTAGCTATTAACTAACTTGCATACAAGAGGAAATCTCATAATGTCATTTCAGGGGCAGGGAGGGGGAGAGAAAGTATATGTAGTGGACATTTTAGGAGATGTAACACATCTCACAGTCACATAGAACAACAAAGCGAGGAAGACAAATCAACTAGCTGTTTTTTTTAACTCCAGGTGGATTTCCCCCACTGCACTTCACCTTCTGAACCTAGTTGCAGCCTCCAGGTTCGCTATGTTCTTTAAGGATCAGCTACAGGAAAAATATCCAGCTTAGTCCAGGGGAAATTAAAATTCAGCCTCAAACAGCCACTGCTTATGAATTGATAATCATGCCACAGAAAAAGAAAGACGACCACATATGTCCCATTGGAAAAGAGTCATTACTGCAAATATAAGACGAGGAAAAGATTACTCAAAGAAGAGCCGCCATGCAGCCTTCAGCAGGGAAATTTTAGGAGGCATTTTCCTGGAAATTAGTAACTCACTAGCATGGACTACTCCATGTGTCTATTTATGTTGATATTTGTGTTTGAGTGCAAAACTGCATCCCTGAATAGTAATAATATCAACTTTCAGAGTCCATTTGGTCTTCTATTAAAGACATACCTTTCCTGTGAAACCAACTAGAATGCTAACCCCTAGGGCAGGGCTCTTCAGAGTTCAAGTAGGTGTCCTATTAAAATGGCCATTGCCTTTTAGTTCCTATGTATTATACAGAAAGTCAATATGTGAGACTAATTCAGTTATTCAGAGGTCCTTAGAATCAGCCATCTCACCCAGCTTCTAAAATAGTGCAATTAAATATTTTTCAAGTCACTCCATGAGATTTGGTTTGTGAATAACTAAAGTAAATAATCTACAAACGTCTATTGGAAAATTCTTCGGCAAAAATACAAAAGCAAAGTATAAGGTAACAGTTTACGAATTTCTCATGCCTCTCGACTTTAAAGTATACTATTCTTTTCATTTCACAGAAAAACCAAGATGCAGATGCCTTAAGTGACCATACTTCATACTTAAAAGTACACAGAGAGGTGCAAAATAGCAGAACTGAAATGAAAAAAACAAAATGAAAAAAAACAGCCTTCCAACTCTCATTTCCACCTCTTTACACCATAGCACAGTAGAAACTATTGTAGGTCACTATATAAACAAAATCAAAGCATTATCAAGAAAGATAATCCCATGCCTATAATCCCAACACTTCGGGAAGCCAAGGTGGGCGGATCACTTGAGGTCAGGAGTTCGAGACCAGCCTGGTCAACATGACAAAACGCCAACTCTACTAAAAATACAAAAATTAGCCAGGCACGGTAGCGTGTGCTTGTAGTCCCAGCTACTCGGGAGGCTGAGGCAGGAGAATCGCTTGAGCCCAGGAGGCGGAGGTTGCAGTAAGCCAAGTCCAAGCCACTGCACTCCAGCCTGGGCAACAGAGCGAGACTCCATCTCAAAAACAAAGAAAGAAAGATGGATTAACCCAATTCTAAATTATTTAGTTTAATATCATATCTTCTTTTTAACAATTTTTTTTTTTTGTAGAGATGGGGTCTCATAATGTTGCCCAGGCTGGTCTCAAACTCCTAAGCTCAAGTAATTCTCCCACCTCAGCCTCCTGAAGTCCTGGGATTACAGGCAAGAGCCACCATGCCAAGCCTAATATACTATCTTCTTAAACACTGAGGTGTAGTGGACGTTGGGCTGTGCTACCCAGATCTCCCCATCAGAATTGAAGGACTCACTCTCCAACTGCTGGAAATATTGATGACAGAATCCCCAGCACTGATCCTTTTCCAGGAACTGCCCTTGGTCAAAGGTTGCATGCCTTCCAGAGGGAAGCCCATTTCCAGTGACTGCCCCAAAGAGGAGTGGCAAGTCTTGACTCCTTGCCTCAAGGTGGGGTGACACTGAAGACATCTCAGTTTAGAAGTTCCTGTGGGAATCACTGAGCTCTCTATTATGGCTGTGTTGCAGCTGGACTTCTCCATTGATCCCATTTGGCTTCCCTACCTTTCATACATGTAAATTTCCTAATAAACCTCCTGGAAGCTCATCTCCATCTGAGAACCTGTTTACCATTGAATGGGGCCTCTGAAAATAAGCATCAGACTGAGCCCAAAGGTCAAAGAATTTCACATTTTGAGTGCACTAGAAATAAGAACGTAACTATATATTTTTGAAAGAATATTTTTACCAATTTTTATCTCCCTATTTTTGGTTACATATAATTCACACTTACTTTGTTAATCACTCGTTCTACAATTAGGTGTAATAATTATTTGAGTTGTAGGTTCACAGTAATAAAACAACTCATACAGATTGTAACAAATCAAAAATATAAATAGGTTTGAGAGTTTAGATATACATTTCTTTTTAGATGGGGTCTTGCTATGTTACCCAGGCTGGTCTTAAACTCCTGGGCTGAAGTGATCCTCCAGCCTCAGCCTCCCCAAGTGCTGGGATTACAGCCGTGTGCCACCACACCTTGCAAAACATATGCTTTTATTACCCACAAAAAGAAAAAAAACATGAAAAGCAGTTGGGCTCAGTGGCTAATGCCTGTAATCCCAAAATTTTGGAAGGCTGAGGCAGGTGGATCATCTGAGGTCAGGAGTTTCAGACCAGCCTGACCAATATAGGGAAACCCTACCTCTACTAAAAATACAAAAATTAGCCAGGCAAGGTGGCGCACACCTGTAGTCCCAGCTACTTGGGAGGCTGAGACAGGAGAACTGCTGGAACCCAGGAGGCGGAGGTTGCAGTGAGTCAAGGTCCTGCCACTGCACTCCAGCCTGGGTGACAGAGTGAGACTCTATTAAAAAAAAAAATCGAAAAGTGATTTTAATCAAAGTTTATAAAAATTATAAAATGTAAATTTAAAAAAATACCTTTCTTTAAACTCAGCATCGTAATAAGAGTTTACTCAGTGGTTTGGGGAAAATGTGCAAATAAGTAAGAAAGCAAATTAAATAATTATCCAAATGATGGTGGAGACATAAAGTACCAGTAGGTTCTTAAAAAATGAATTTTTAAATGAATCTAGAGATTACAGTTCTACAAAAGATAATCAGGTAAATAAACCCCCAAAAGCATTTGTGGAAATTCAATACTTATTTATGATAAGAAAGAAATGTTTACCAAATTAAGAATAGAAGAGACTTAATTAATCTGACAATGTTTCCCCCAAATCCATAGTTAATTGTGAAATATTCAAAGCTTTCACCATGTTGAGAAAAAGACAAAGATGTTAATAGCAATTTTACTGAAAATCATATAGGTCTAGCTAGTGTAATAAGGCAAGAAAAATAAGGTATGCATTAGAATTAGAAAGCAAAAAAAATTGTTCATTATTTGTAGTTAAAATGATTTTCACAGACAACATGCAAAAGAAAGAAAGATTATTAGAAATAGTAAATAAATTCAGCAAGGTCGCTGGTTCCAAGATTAGTTTATAAAAATCAATTGTATTTCTAAAGATCAGCAACAAAAAATAGAGTCTAAATAATTATGCTATTTAAAATAGCATCAACAAACATAACAAGTTAGAGATAAATCTAAGAAAAGATGTGTAAAAGTTCGATACTGAAAATTGTAAGATGCTACTGGGAGAAATTAAATAGGATTTAAGTCAATGGATAAATATATTTATGGTTTGTAAGAACAATACTATGAAAGTTTCAGTTAATGAAGCTAAATATATACTTTCCTTATGATATAGCCATTCCACTCCCAGGTATTTATGGAAAAAAAAAACATATCCACAGAAACACATTCATGAATGCTCATACCAGCTTACTTATAATAGCCAAAAACTAGAAATAACTCAAATATTCATTAATAGCCAAGTGAATAAACAAATTGTGATCTGTTTATACACTGGAATTCTAATGAGCAATAAAAAAAGACAAACCAATGATAGACACACAAGAAGGATACATCTCAAAAACATGATGAATAGAAAAACAGACTTAAGAATAAATAGGTTGGGTGCAGTGGCTCACACCTATAATCCTAGCACTTTGGGAGGCTGAGACAGGTGGATCCCTGGGCCCAGAAGTTCAAGACCAGCCTGGGCGACATAGAGAGATCCTGTTCCTACAAAATAATTTAAAAATTTAGCTGGATGTGGTGGCACACACCTGTGGTCCTAGCTACTTGGGAGGCTGAAGTACGAGGATTTCTTAACCCAAGAGTTCAAGACTAGAGGAACCAATGACTGTGCAACTGCATTCCAGCCTGGGCACAGACAGGTATTTATATATTTTTTATTTTTTATGTTTTTATTTCAATAGCTTTTGGGGTATAAGCGGTTTTTGGTTACACGGATCAACTGTGTAGTGTAAAGTTTGAGGAGTTTTTTTATTTTTATTTTTATTTTTATTTTTTTCTGGAGATAGAGTCTCACTCTGTTGCCCAGGCTGGAGTGCAGTGGAGTGGTACAATCTTGGCTCAGTGCAACCTCCACCTCCCAGGTTCAAACGATTCTCCTGCTTCAGCCTCCCAAGAAGCTGGGATTACAGGCACATGCTACTATGCCCGGCTAATTTTTGTATTTTTAGTAGAGACGGGGTTTTGCCATGTTGGCCAGGATGGTCTCCAACTCCTGGCCTCAGGTGATCCACCTGCCTTGGCCTGCCAAAGTTCTGGGATTACAGGTGTGAGCCACTGCGCCTGGCCTGAAGTCTGAGGTTTTAGTGCACCTGTCACCTACAGGTCTTTTCAGACACTGTCTCAAAAAAAATTACAAGAATAAATACTATACATTTCCATTTATATAAAATTCTAGAACAGGCAAAACTAATCTGTAGTGACAAAGCAGATCAGTTTATGCCTGGGGCTGGTATAGAGAGGAGCTAGGCAGGGAAGAGAACTTTTTGGTGTGATGGATATGTTCTTTAACTTGATTGTCAAGATGATTACACAGCGATATACAATTTTCAAAACTCAAACTGTACACTTAAAATGGGTGCAATAAATTGTATTTCAAAAGTACAAATTTTAAAAAATTACCATTTATAGGCATACACAGAATGAGAACTCATTCTACATAAACTCAGTGTACTCAGAAGATATATAGCAACATGCTATCTCCAGGAACAAAGAGATCTTGCAAATTTTAAATGAGTATTTAAAATTCTGTA